>NC_000015.10:23053147-23226874 GCF_000001405.40 Homo sapiens | reverse complement strand
GAATTCCTCATGGCCAAGGGGGTGGGCAAGGGCTGCAGGGAGGAAGAGTGTACCCTGTTCCGGCCAGTGCACCAGGAACGGCTTTCTAACCTGGGCAGGAAGGCGTGAAGCATTCAGGATGTGGGGGGGCACACAGTTCCCAGTGTGCGCCCAGGGATGACCAAGAGAAGGAGAGGCGCCAGGGCTTCCCCTACCCTAGCCCGAGGGGGACTCCCTAGCCAGGATCCAGCAGATCCTGGCTAGGAAACGCCAGTGAACCATAGCGCCAGGGAACAGGACCAGGCCGCCGGCTCCGCCCACCGCTGCGGTCTTGGGGGACTGGGGGTGGCCCTTGGGACTGCTGTGGAGCCTGGGCCTGACCCACTGACTAGGCTGAGCCGGGAGACTGGAGAGTCGCATCTGGAGCTGGGCCCGGGGACGCCCGCTGGCGGGAGGGGTGCGCGCGAGTCGGAGGCCGCGGCTGACCCTGCTCCGGTGCCGCCAGGTACCGCATCAGCCCGGACAGCATCATCCTGTACCGGCAGAGCATCGGCACAGTGCCCACCGTGGACCTGGCCTCGCGCTACGAGTCCGCCGCGGTGGTGCTGCACTCGCCGCTCACCTTGGACCTGAGCGTCGCCTTCCCGACACCAAGAAGACCTACTGCTTCGACGCCTTCCCCAAGTGAGCAGGCTGGGGCAGGGACAGGGGCGGGGACGGGGACTGGGTCGGGGACGGGGGCGGGGCGGGGCGGGGCCCGGGCCCGGAGAGTTCTCACCCGCCCCACGCCCCTCCCGCAGAATCCAGAAGGTGTCCAAGATCACGTCGCCCGTGCTCATCATCCACGGCACGAAAGACGAGGTGATCGACTTCTCGCAGGGGCTGGCGCTCTAGGAGCGCTGCCCCAAGGCTGTGGAGCCGCTGTGGGTGGAGGGCGCCGGGCACAAAGACATCCAGCTCTACAGCCAGTACCTGGAGCGCCTGCGCCGCTTCATCTCCCAGGAGCTGCGCAGCCAGAGCGCCTAGCGGCCGCCGGGGCCCCAACCGGCCGGACCTCAGCAATAAGGCGGCCCCCGGACCTCACCCCGCACCGGCCTCCTGGGGGCTGCATGTGGACCCCCAGGTGGCCCGGGGGACCCCGCCCGGATCCAGGGGCCGTGGACGGTGTACAACAGAGCTACCCACTCCTTTCCTTTTGGAAGCAAGAAGAAATATGTGAAAACGGAAATTAAAGATTAAAAATTTTTTTTAAAAAAAACACAATGTTTATTAATATACTCCAAAGTTGTGTTCTTTTTTTTTTTTTTTTTTTTTGAAATGGAGTCTCACTCTGTCGCCCAGGCTGGAGTGCAGTGGCGCGATCTCAGCTTACTGCAACCTCCACCTCCCAGGTTCAAGCGATTCTCCTGCCTCAGCCTCCCGAGTAGCTGGGACTACAGGCGCGTGCCACCATGCCCAGCTAATTTTTTGTATTTTTAGTAGTTACGGGGTTTCACCGTGTTAGCCAGGATGGTCTCCATCTCCCGACCTCGTGATCTGCCCTCCTCGGCCTCCCAAAGTGCTAGGATTACAGGCGTGAGCCACCGTGCCCGGCCGTTTTGCACAGATTTTTTAATGCAGAATCATGTTGGCAATGGGTAATGGCTACCAAGGTGCCATCGTTCCACATTCCTGTTATTCAGTCATCACATCTACTATGTGTGAGCCATAATATCTTCTAAAATGAATTATAACTATGTTCGAATTGTTATTTCACTAAGTAATCTCTGCTAATTTAGTCTCTATTTCATCTCAACGGAATGCCTTCTGAGTTCCTATAATTGTGACTAATTCTCTGAGACAACATCAGCAGTATCACTATAAACTATGAAACCTACAAAGGGAATTTCCTCTTTTTCCTTTTTATTATAGAGATGCTTTTTTGTTTGTTTTCTGCAAGCAAGCACAGTCTTAATCAATTTTGTATGCCCATACCTAGGAGAGCCCCTGATTCATAATAAGACCTCAATAAGATTTGTTGAATAAAGTGAAAATAGGATTTTCAGCTTTCCCTCACCACTTTCTTCAAAACAGACTAGTTCATAACTGAAATAGGCATTGTTTCTAGAAAACGGTCACTCCAGCTGATCCCTTCGTTTAATCATTTTTGTACTCCCTGAATCTATGATGATACCTGGCACATAGTGGGTAAGTAATCAATATTTGTTCACTGAACTAATGGAAGGATGAGTGAATGAAACAATACAGGCATTTTAAAATTATAATTCAAAATTAACATATTACTTGTTATTAGAGTGATTTTAAACAGTTAAGTATATGATAATTAGGAAGATTTACTTTCCTGCTTCATTTAAATTTTAAATATAGTGATCAAGGTAATCATGATTTTCATTCATTTATGCAATAAATGCATATTTAATATTTTTTATCTCACATGATAGATTGCTGCTGGTCAAAGACATTACGATGGTATTATACATAAAGATTTGTTTTAAATTTACAGTATCTTGAAATTTTTCTCTTGTTAATCCACAAAGTATATTTATACATTGGGAAATATACTTTTTAAAATGTCAGTTAATGATATTTTTATTTTCTATTTTATCTTATTATTATTGATACAAGATCTCACTATGTCACCCACTGCTGGAATGCAGTGGCATAATCATGGCTCACCACAACCTCAACCTCCCAGGCCCAGGTGATCCTCCTACCTCAGCCTCCTCAGTTGCTAGGACTACAGGTGCCCGCCACCTTGCCCGGCTAACTTTTTCCTTTTTTTTTTTTTTTTTTTGGTAGAGATGAGTTTTCACCATGTTGCCCAGGCTGGTCTTGAACTCCTGGGCTCAAGCAATCTGCCAGCCTCAGCCTCCCAAAGTGTTAGGATTACAGGCATGAGCCACCACTATGGGGCAGATAATGATATTTTTTCAGGAATCGGTAAAACATTGTCCTTCAATGAATTAGTGCAGAAGCATGAAAAAATCTATTCTGAGCAAATCTGTGAAACAGACATTGAAATTAGTATTCTAATAAGGCTTTTGTGCTTTTTGATGATATAAAATAATTTTGCTATGACAATACAGTTACTTAAATGAGAAGTATGAATAACTTGCTTTGATATGTTTGTGGTATGTTTCACTTATTTTTTAAGAAGGGAAATTATTAAATTTAAACTCTCTATATATGTAAAGAGTGCACATCAAATATTTTAAAGCCCTGAAGAATTAGGTCTTCATTTCAAGAATTATTAAGTGTCTTAAGAACATATTTATTTTCTAGAAATGTTGAGCCTCTTCTTGGGTAATGTGATTCTTTTAAAAATTTTGAAAGGATTTTCTTATTACATTAAAAATGAATGTATGCAATAGGAAGTTACTAGGATAGAGTGAATTTAGCAGCTATCTTGCTTTGTTACATATGTCTTATAAATTAAAATTATATTTTCATAATTAAAAGCCAACAAGCTCATTTGCTTTTATAAGACTAAGAGAAAAGGAGTATTAAATGAAGTTAAATTAGATTTTACCATCTTTTTAATAAGTTTCAGGCCTGGTTTGATAATATATTCCCAGATACATAATTTAAAAATGATCTTTTGGCTGGGCGCGGTGGCTCACGCCTGTAATCCCAGCACTTTGGGAGGCCGAGGCGGGCGGATCACGAGGTCAGGAGATCCAGACCATCCTGGCTAACACGGGGAAACCCCGTCTCTACTAAAAATACAAAAAATGAGCTGGGCGTGGTGGCGGGCGCCTGTAGTCCCAGCTACTCAGGAGGCTGGGGCAGGAGGATGGCGTGAACCCGGGAGGCGGAGCTTGCGGTGAGCCGAGATCCGGCCACTGCACTCCAGCCTGGGTGACAGAGAAAGACTCCGTCTCAAAATAAATAAATAAATAAGAATTTAGTGAGAGCTGGTTATAGTTTGGAACCTCATTTGTGAAATAAACCATGTTTCAAAATATTTTAAGCAGAAATACATTTAAGTTGTAGCCTACAAATTACCAGAATTTGTCCTAGTCACCTAAATAAAAAATGTAAAAGTTCTACATTTTAACGTCCTTTCAACATTTTATGAACAGAAAACCCGGCAGGTAAACAGCTCAAGTCTGAATGGGAAATGATAACATATAAGATCAGCAGCATCCGCGCAAATAAAAAGTCAAATTTTTATCCAACACAAAACAATTACATACGCGTTAATCAAAAAGAAATTAGCAACGGCCAACCCCAATCCCATTACTTTCAAAAAAAGTCCTCTAACTTTCCTTTCCAGTTGAATGTACACTGATTGAAATGGTTGTTTTATGCGGACAATTGATTTTTTTAAATGAAATGTCTAATAGGGAAGTCAGTACATTACACTACCCATTCCAGAAAGCAGCCTTCCATTGAATTTACTCAAACTAATTGCTGAATTAGATGACCATGGAAAGTTACTGAGGGCATATCCAGCACTTTCTTCTGAACCAAAACTAAATCTGTTTTGGTCACTACTGCATTGCTATTCAAAATCAAGGACTGTTCGTCTCTCTGGAATATTAGTATCGTAAGCCTGGGGAGGTGACAATATCATGTAAGGGAGTTGTGGGGAAAGGAGTCAGAGTGTTGTGGCAATTCCCGGACCAAGGGAAAGAGTCTGTAGAAGTTCATAGAATCAGCTGACATGCTACGGTCAAAGAATTTGCAATTAGCAATTGACCAATCAATTTTGATTAACTCATTCTGTATGACTATCATAGGCTATTAAAAATAGGAAAGCGTGTTTCTAAAATGGGTTTCATAACAAGTGATTTAATGATAAAAGCTTGGACAGTTTTCAGAATTCAAAAATTCCGAGATACTAATATCTTTAAAAACTCCTGTCATTGTGTGTGTGTGTGTGTGTGTGTGTAAACACTACCTGTGTAATCATCTATTGAGATTTAAATTAGAACATTTTCTCAGTGTATCCCCGTTCTAAAGTTACTATTTATTATATTGCTATCCTAGGAACAGAGTGAGAAAAGGCAAAGAGGTAATTTAACACAGTCTTTTTCTGCTAAAATCAGAGTGTCTCTCATCTCTGCCTGAATCCAATACATTGTGATTACTGAAATACATATTATAGAATATCTACTTATTTTGTGGATTTAGGCAACGATTATGATTGTTGCTTTTCTCACATCTAAAAATCAAATTTATATTATACATGAAGACATTTTCTAAAGAACTTTTGGTCTGTATAAAAATGAATACTTAATAGAAACGTAATATTATTTTATGTTATTTGAATTGTTAAGTTTAAGAAAATAAAATGTTTTTAAATCTATTACTTTTAACAACACTGTAACATTTATTGGTTTTGGAATAAAATAGATCCAGAAAATTGCTGTGATATTACTTTTTATGTTTCTTATTGAAAGTAGGTCAATTAATTTCTAAGCAATGGGGCATTATAATTGTCAACTAACAGTGCTCAAGCAGTTAGGATTTTAACTGCTGACATTATTTTCTTTGAAAAATGATAGATGTCATTTAGTGTTTAAAGATAAATTGCTGCATAACAGTGACTTTTTTGCTGATAACTTTGCCATAAGCAAACATAACATGACCAAGAAGTTTCAAAGTGAGTTTTCTAGGCGAGCAAATCTAAATTAAAAAGGCTCTCATATTTCCTCAATCAGATATACTAACATCAACCAAGTGTTGTTTTCAATCTATAATATGAAAGGGCAATTGAGTCTGACTCAAACATCTGAAAAAGTTAATGTTAACACTTAGGAATATGTCTCCGTGTAGGAAAATTTTCACTGGCCATGGGCTATACCACATTTATCACAGGTGATTTTCAAGGGGACAAATATTGCCCATTTCAGAAACAGGTTTGGAATGCAGGAAACTGCCAGAAAGTAACTGTGAGAGTTTGCACCATGGCTGACCTGGAGGAAGATGTCAGAGTCACAGATGGAAAAGGGAGGTGCATGACTCCCCTCTGTTGCCAAGGTTCCCATTCTCAATTCAGAAGGGTTTGCGGAGGGGGTGAAGGAACATTGAAGTTTCTGAGATATTCCTTAAGGACCAAGCTATAATTCACAGCTATCTATTTACATCAGATCTCAGCTTTTTTTTTTTTTTTTTTTTTTTTTTTTTTTTTTTTGAGGAGGGTGCAGGAGGAGATGTGCGCAGAACATATGTATATGGCTTGCCCTAAAGGATGAAATAAAATTGTGTATGCTATGACCTCTCTAGGAAGCCTCTAAACTTTTCTTATAAATTGTCTTCTAACTAAAATATTTCTTTTGGCCGTCCTTGGAGTACTCCCAGGTGACACATAGCTCGGGCTAACATTTCTACAGGACTGCTACCTTGATCTCTAGAGAGTCCAATGATGTTCCATACCAATATGTCTCAGCGTCACTGCCGAGCTTCCACCCACACCCTTAACACACAGAGAAAGCTGACACTTTCTGTTAGCTATAATTTTCCTTGAGAAAAACGTGGCAATATGTAGCAAAATACAATTATTAGTTTCAATATGTAGAACGTATTACAAGAAAAAAAAGATGCCAAAAACATCTTGTGTCTACTGCTGTTCCTATTAGTCTTTATTATCATGAAAAACTGGTCGCATCCTAAATATCCAACTTTCGGTGACTGGGTGGAGGAAAACTGTAATTTTTCCATATGATAGAATAGTATGCCAGCACTAACAACCAGAGAGCAGACTATTTAATGTCATGGTAAAGTATTTGTTTTGTGTGGTCAGGTGAGCAGTTCAGATCATAAAATCAAATGTACCCTATGATCTTATTTTTTGAAGTAAAGTACTGATGTATTTATATGTATAATTAAGTATAGAGAAAAGCCTAGATGGCTTCTCTTATAAGTCTTTTCATTGTTTTATAAATGGTATCAATATTTATTTTTCACTTTTTCCATCAGATTTCCTAGAATAATAAAATTCAATTCCCTCTGATGAGCATTCATTATTCTTTTTTTTTTTTTTTTTTTGAGACGGAGTCTCACTCTGTCTGCTAGAGCTAGTGTGCAGTGGCCTGATCTCAGCTCACTGCAGCCTCCGCCTCCTGGGTCATTATTCTTACAGTAAGAAAAAATGAATGTTACTATCTTCTCTGTCCTAGATCAACTAAGTATATACAAGGTGCCAAATACATTTAATGAAATGTTTTATTCATTCATAGCTTTTTGCAGTACAATTTTTTTTGTATGATTCCCTTGTCCTATCATCTCCACCAATAGTTTTGGTGTGAATTTATACTCTAAAGGAAAGGTGACAACCTTATACAATCTCAGGGCTTAAATACTATCCACGTGCTGATGCTTACAAACATACACCTCCAGTTGTGTGGTCTCCCTGAGTTCTGCACATCCCTCTTGGGCATCTAACAAGCATCTCACAGTTAACAAAACCACTGATTTCTAATCAATCCCAGGGACCCTCCGCCAGGCCTGCTCCTCTCTCAGAATTCCTTTTCTCACTTAGTGACACTATCATCCCACCAAACCTCGCTATCATCTTTCTTCCGTCTCCCAAATTTCCAATCCATTAACAAATCCTAAAAACCCCGCTTCCAATATTTGTCTAAATCTATGCACTTCTCAGCTTATCCACTCTTATTATTCTAGCTCCAATTATGTGGCCTTCTGTCTGTGTTACTTTCTTTTTTCCATTCTTGTACGCAGGGTCCAGTTTTCATAGTGAAGTCCTCATAAAACATGTATTAAATTGTATCAGCTTCTGCTTACAGTTATTTATTTATTTATTAAATTTGTGATGTATTTTTATTTATTTATTTATTTTGAGAAGGAGTCTTGCTCTGTCATCCAGGCTGGAGTGCAGTGGCGCGATCTTGGCTCACTGCAGGCTCCGACTCCTGGGTTCAAGCGATTCTCCTTCCTCAGCCTCCTCAGTAGCTGGCATTACAGGCACGCTCCACCGTGCTCAGCTAATTTTTGTATTTTTAGAAGAGATGGGGTTTCACCATGTTGGCCAGGCTGGTCTCAAACTCCTGACTTAAGGTGATCCACCCACCTCAGCCTCCCAAAGTGCTGAGATTACAGGTATGAGCCACTGCGCGCAGCTAGTTTCTGCTTACAGTTTTAAAATGACTTCTTAGTCTATTTAGGAGAAAATATAAACTCTTTACCAGAGCCTACTGGACTCCCCAAAACATGATGTATGTTTATCTCCTCCCTTTAACTCACTCTGTTTTAGCCACCTGGCCTTCTGTTCTCTGAATAAAATAAACTTATTCCTGCCACAGGGCCTTTACACCTACTTTGCCTTCTGCCCCAGACACAGTTCTCACAGGTTTTCCCATGACTCCTTTCTTCTCCTTATTCAGCATCAACCCAAACATCTGCCCCTGAGTGGCCTTCACCAGCACACTCTTCTTAAATATCTTTCCTTACCTCACCTTGTTTGGTTTTGTGCATAACATGTGTCAGCTACAATACTGGTTTCATTGGTTTGTTTATTTACTTTTTTCTTACAATGGAAAGCCCATGAGAGCAGGGTTGTGTCTGCTTTATTCACAACTTTAACCTCAGTGCCTGTACAGAACCAGGACCGTACTAGAAACTCAGTGAGCATTTGTTGAGTATCTTGAACGAATTAATTATTAAAACATTAAAAAGTGACATTTTCCAAGTAAAAATCTTTATCTACTTCCTTAGTGACTCTAATTGCAGACAATGCAAGGTAGAAATGAGGTTCAGATCAATGGCAGGCCAAGAAAGGCATTTTTGGGTGAGTCCATGCAGGCAATGTTTGCTATTGTGGCTGATTTACTTCCATATACTTTAACACAGGTATGTCCCTATTGTGAGACACGGCATTTTTCATAGTATAAAGGTGGAAAGCGAACTTCATGTTATAATAAAAAATAAAGTAAATTTTATACAAACACTAAGAAGTGATCATCTAAATCTACAGTTTAGAATCTGAAACCTATTCCTATGTTGACATCTTCCATGGCCCTACTCCTTAATTAATAAATTCTGACTTACAGAAGGCTATTTTCTGAATCCTTTCATAGCTGACATTGTGGTGGGTGCTGTTAGCCATCCCTTGATACTGACAGCACAATGGCCATCCCTGCCAGGGCACGCGTACACCATCAGTAGTCAAAAGTTTGGCAAAGTAGGCCGGGCGCCGTGGCTCACGCCTGTAATCGGCACTTTGGGAGGCCGAGGCAGGTGGATCACCTGAGGTCGGGAGTTCGAGACCAGCCTGAGCAACATGGAGAAACCCTGTCTCTACTAAAAATACAAAAAAAATTAGCCGGGCTGTGGTGGCACGTGCCTGTAATCCCAGCTGCTCTGGAGGCTGAGGCAGGAGAATCTCTTGAATCCAGGAGGCGGAGGTTGCAGCGAGCCGAGATCGCGCCATTGCACTCCAGCCTGGGCAACAAGAGGGAAACTCTGTCTCAAAAAAAAAAAAAAAAAAAAAAAAAAAAAAAATTGGCAAAGTAAAACACTTCTCTTCATCTCCAGGAGAGCAGTTCATGAAAGAGCATATTCTTAGATATTAAAGGTAAATTTTCAGTGACACCTGTGCAAGATATGACTTTCCGCTGTCCTCTATAAAAATCTACATTTCTATCATATAAATCTAGCAGATCTTAAAATGATAGACCTCAAAGGTAGCACTGCATTTTATATTCTCTTGCAACCCCAGAATGAAACTTAAGCATGAATAATTGGAGATCTGCACACTCCTATAAAGAATAAAGAATGGGACTCAAGTTCACACAGAAGCTAAAAAAGAAAGGCAGGATGACTTCCCTCTGCCACCTTGAAAAGGCTTTGAAACCTACGAAACAAGAAATGGGGAGGGGGGTTGCTGAATGGGTAATAAATATATGAGCCCTCCTCCTAAGGGTTTTTATAATCCTTTCTATCTTGGGTATCTATGTGTTCCTCTGTGAATGTGTTTTCTTATAACGGCACTTCTCATGGAACAGCTCTATCCTTATTATCTGTAACAGGGTCTCTGTTCTGCTTTCATCATGTATATATCTTAGAAAAACAATCTGAACAAATGTCCAGTTAATATGTATATTTATGTATTTATAAATTATATGTATATGCTATTGCACTAATATATTACATATTTTATATACCTTACTACAACCAAAGAAATATAAAAGAATGAGATGGAATAAATATATATTTAAGTTCTAGTTTTTCTTCCTCCATCCTCTGTGGAATGCTTACCCCACTTAAGAAACCCCTAAGATTTCACTGTGTCCTCACAGTGAGATTGTACTCACTCCTCAATGAGAGAACATTAATATTAAAGCTCTTTTGGTTTTATTATCAATTATGCGGTCGAATTTTCAAATAATCTAGCTGTACATATTATACTACAGTGGACGATACTGTGAGGTACCAACTGGACCAGCTCAGCAGAGGCTGGAAGGTTTAACTCATCAGTAGTCATGATACCACTTTTCTCTTAGACTTTTCCAATAGAATTTATTTTTGGTTTTGCCAGCCAGGGTGAGAGCTGTTTTCTATAGGTATCAATGGTAGAATAAGCATTGTTGCCTCACAGAAGGGAGAAGTCTACGGTATTGGACACCAACCCCCAAGTCCTTCTTACATATCCTCTCCTTGAGAGATAGGGACTCGTGAAAAATGGAAACCCAGGAATTGGCTCTGCATAAACTTAAGCTTTGTCTTTGCAGAACAATTATGAGAAGCCTACTACTGGCTCTGGAATATGTTGTATGCAATAAAAACTCTGTACTATTTAGGTATTGTTTCTGATGCACGATACTAGAAATAAGCATCAGCTAGCCATGCAAAGTTCTGCTTAGGAAAAATGAAAGTATATTCAAATATAAATTTTTATAAAATGACTATTAACTAAAAAAAAAAAATAGCCTTTCTTTCCCCAAACATCAATAGATGCAGAATGCAGAGTAATATTTACAACATGCAACATCATGTTTGGTTCTAATTAATAGACTATTTCAATGAAATATTATTTTGATAAATATGTTCATGCTTCATTTGTCATGTATTAAAAACAGCAATACACACTCACTTGATGAAAAATATTATTGAAGATAAAAGAGAAGTATTTCATAAACAACCATTAGGTAGATTATAAGATAACATATAAAAGGTGATATAGGAAATAAATATTAGAAGTACATATTATTCATCTATGACCTAATTTGTATTGAAATGCTGCAAAAACCTTCATAGCAACATTCAGAGAATTACCTGAAAGAAAACTCTGGCATCTTCTATGGTCTTCTATGTGTTTTCTTTAATGGTCACAGTGATTCCCACGTTCAAACTTATTCACTGAAGACAATGCATGTCCTGAGATTCTCATTATTGAAATGCTGAGGCTGAGGCTTGCTTTTCACATATACAGATTGTCCAACATTAAAATACCACTGCATATTGACTGCATACAAAAATCATTAAACTAAATATTCCCAAAAGTCCTGATACAAATAATGTGTTACAATATTTTAGGCAGGATTATCTGATAGGGTTAACAAATTTATCAAGTATAACAGAAAGTGACCACTTATTATTTATTATTGGCTATACCAAAAAATATAGGATCAGGACTTACCTGAATAACATGCTTCAGTTTATCAATAATCTGATTTATCACAGGATCAGTTCCTTTGACTTTGACTTCAGGATTTCCAGACTGGGCTTTGATTCCATTTCCAACCACATGCTGAGTATAACTAGCAAAGGGAAATGTGAAAGATATATGACTTAGTACCTGATCAGAGTATTATCTGCCACAGCTATCTGAACATAGTTGAGGTCAGAATTTCCTCCTTTAGAGAATACACCAATGTGTTTTTTTCTTGGAACAGAAACTGGCACAGCTATAATGCTTTTGCAGGTAAAATGCTAAAATGCTTATTGTGCCATTAGATCATTCTAAAAATAATGTTATTCTCTCAATGGACCCAACCAAAAATTACTTGTTTTTTAATACTACTTAACAATATGCTACAAAGAGTTGACATATCTCACTTTGTTACCAGTTCTTGCTGAATTATACATATGTCTGTACCCCTATTGTCTGGGTGAGCTTATTTTATGCAGTCCCAATCTTATTTTTTAAATATCAGGCTACTATATATGTGTGTGTGTGTGTGTGTGTCTATATATATATAGAATATGTATAGAGAATATATATAGGATAAACATATAGAATATATATAGACTATATAGAATATATATAGACTATATAGGATATATATAGAATATACATAGACTATATAGGATATATATAGAATATACATAGACTATATAGGATATATATAGAATATACATAGACTATATAGGATATATATAGAATATACATAGACTATATAGGATATATATAGAATATACATAGACTATATAGGATATATATAGAATATACATAGACTATATAGGATATATAGAGTATATAGACTATATATAGGATATAGATAGAAAATATGTAGACTATATACAGGATATCGATAGAATATATATAGACTATATATAGGATATAGATAGAATATAGATAGACTATATATAGGATATAGATAGAATATAGATAGACTATATATAGGATATAGATAGAATATGTATAGGATATAGATAGAATATAGATAGACTATATATAGAATATATGTAGAATACAGATATAGAATATAGATATAGAATATATATGGAATATAGATATAGGATATATATAGATAGAATATAGATATACACACACATATATATTTCCTAATTAGGTCCTTCAAGAAATAAGTGATTAAACTTTTTAATAATGATAGTATCAATTGGACATGATAACAATAATGTTATTAATAAACTCTTTGATTTTTAAAATAAACTTGAACCCATTTCTTTTCATAGTCATAGAGGGGCTTAGAGATAAGAATTTCAGTATCCATTAGGGATTTGCAGTATACACCAGTAACAAATAGTAGAAAGAAAACAGTTATATCTATTTTGTTAATGTGTAATGATATTCTTTACTTTAGAAAATAAAATTATATATAGTATATCTATATATAATATATAATATCTATTATATGTAAAATATATATAACTGTACAAGTCAATATCATAAATTATAACTGTACAAATTAAAATCATCAAATTTATAAGCAACGAAAATGTGCGAAGTATTTCCTAAGTAGAGGAAACAATCTGCTTTCGCCTAGGTTCACCTAAACAAAGATCTGGTAAATCATGTGGTAGGTAAAAAGGGTCATTTCACAGGTGGTGAAAGCCATTTGAAATTTCACTACCTTCCCCAAATTACAATCATACGTCAACTTAGAATTAATAAAAATATTTAAATTCATTAGTCGCAAAGATGTCTTAAGTGAATGCTATATTCCAAGTCCTGTACTAGGTCTTTAGGATTATAAGAAGGTGTAAGACTCAATTTTTGTCCTCATAATGCTCATTACTTAACCAAGAATATAACAGATTAATTAACTCATTCATTTGTATGCTTATTCATTACATTTTACTACATTTAAAAAATACCGTAGATTTCAGCCATATAAATACCCTTGTTTGCCTGACAGAAGAGTGTAATATAAACACAACTGAACCGTTAAAATACAACATTATGAAAGTAGATGGAAGGAACTGCACGTGCCACGTGTGAGGAAAGATAAGACAGGTGGTAGATATTCTGGATATAGAGAAGCCCATTTGAACTCAGACACTAGGGAAAAACTAAAGGAGAAGTTATAACTTGAGGTAGCCTTGGATGTATTGAGGTAAGAAGAGGACATCTATGGTATGGTTAATGAGAACTTCAGGGCAAAGGATGTCATCCCAGCAAGGAAAACGGCAAAGGTACTTGAACAAGGCAGACAGGGAGAACAGGCCTCTATTCACAAAGCAGAGAGTACAAACGTTGGAAAGCAATGGATAGAGGGCCACACCCTGAAGATTCCACCCTGAATGTTGAAGACTCTCCACTGAGTGATATAATGGGCTCTGGAGATTCATAAGGGGGAAGTTGGCAGGTGGGTGTGGAATAAAAAAGCTACATGTTTGGTACAATGTACACTACTCAGGTGACAGGTGCAATAAAATCTCAGACTTCACCACTATACAAATTATCCATGTTACCTAAACCACTTGTGCTCCAAAAGCTATTGAAGTAAGACATTTATTTATTTATTTATTTTTATTTATTTATTTTTTTGAGACGGAGTCTGGCTCTGTCGCCCAGGCTGGAGTGCAGTGGCGCAATCTCGGCTCACTGCAAGCTCCGCCTCCCGGGTTCACGCCATTCTCCTGCCTTAGCCTCCCGAGTAGCTGGGACTACAGGCTCCCGCCAGTACGCCCGGCTAATTTTTGTATTTTTAGTAGAGACGGGGTTTCACTGTGTTAGCCAGGATGGTCTCGATCTCCTGACCTCATGATCCGCCCGCCTTGGCCTCCCAAAGTGCTGGGATTACACGCTTGAGCCACCGCGCCCGGCCAAGACATTTAAAAAATGAAAACAAAACACTATCACCTGAGTCATTTGTTTGCTTACATTAAATATCATAATACTTTTCAGCAAAAAATATTATCATTTTAATGTAACTTTCGTTCCCTGTATTTGAGCGGAGTACTGCACTATCCATAAACACCCTCTGAATTTTCTACAGTAATGGAAAAAAATCTTTGAAAAAAATAAAAGAAGGTTCTATGTTTGAGAATATGGCTATATGAAAGGGGTTTCAAGAAATATCCAGTTCTTCCCAAGACGATGTACTTCCAGTGACCAGTTTTAAGAAGTGGAACAGGCCAGGCGCGGTGGCTCACGCCCGTAATCCCAGCACTTTGGGAGTCCGAGGCGGGCAGATCACGAGGTCAGGAGATGGAGACCATCCTGGCTAACACGGTGAAACCCCGTCTCTACTAAAAATACAAAAAATTAGCCGGGCGTGGTGGCGGGCGCCTGTAGTCCCAGCTACTCGGGAGGCTGAGGCAGGAGAATGGCGTGAACCCGGGAGGCAGAGCTTGCAGTGAGCCGAGATCACCTCACTGCACTCCAGCCTGGGTGACAGAATGAGACTCTGTCTCAAAAAAAAAAAAAAAAACCAAAAAAAGGGGATCGAATATTTCCTAACGAGGTCCTTCAAGTAATAATAAGTGATTAAACTTTTTGATAATGATAATATCAATTGGACATGATAAAAATACTATTAATAAATCTTTTGATTTAAAAAATAACCTTGTACCCACTTCTTTTGTAGGCGTGGGGGGAGCTTAGAGTTAAGTATTCCAGTATCCGTTAGGGATTTGGCAGTATACATCAATAACAAATAGTAGAAGGAAAATAATTATACCTGTGTCTCATATATATATATATATATATATATATATATATATATATATATATATATATATACACACAGAGAGAGAGAGAGAGAGAGAGAGAGAAACCATCTCTTAAATTACCTGTAGCACCACTATGTTATTCTTTACTCTCCCAATACCCCAAGTAGATTGCACATGTGACTCTTTTATTAATGTGTTGAATATTCATAACGATAATGAATAATATGAATAAATAAATTGATAAGTGCGTAACTATGAATTAGGCATTGCTTTACTCTTATCTGGAGATTTCAATTCATGATAAACATCTTTTAGTGACCATGAATAAGAAACTCATAGACCTGCATTAGAGAAATGCAAATCTAAACCACAATGAGATACCATCTCACTCCAGTTAGAATGGCAGTCCTTAAAAAGTCAGGAAACAACAGATGCTGGAGAGGTTGTGGAAAAATAGGAATGCTTTTACACTATTGGTGGGAGTGTAATTTACTTCAACCATTGTGGAAGACAGTGTGTGAATTCCTCAAGGATCTAGAACTAGAAATACCATTTGACCCAGCAATCCCATTACTGGGCATATACTCAAAAGATTATAAGTCATTCTACGATAAAGACACATGCACACGTATGTTTATTGTGGCACTATTCACAATAGCAAAGACTTGGAACCAACCCAAATGTCCATCAATGATAGACTGGATTAAGAAAATGTGGCACATATATACCATGGAATACTATGCAGCCATAAAAAAGGACATGAGTTCATGTCCTTTGCAGGGACATGCATGAAGCTGGAAACCATCATTCTCAGCAAACTATCACAAGATCAGAGAACCAAACGCCGCATGTTCTCACTCATAAAGCAGGAGTTGAACAATGAGAACACATGGACACAGGGAGGGGATCATCACACACTGGGGCCTGTGGGGTGTGGGGGTGTAGGGGAGGGATAACATTAGGAGAAATACCTAATGTAGGTGACGGGTTGATGGGTGCAGCAAACCACCATGGCATGTGTATACCTATGAAACAAAACTGCAAGTTCTGCACATGTAACCCAGAGCTTAAAGTATAATTTAAATAAATAAATAATAAATAAATAAATAAACTCATAGACCTCAAAGTATGGGAAGCCTAACTGCCTACGGCCACTTGCTGCTTCACTCTAAAATCTGTTTCTGCATCTGCCCCTCAGTCAATGACTGAGGGCCACAGGGTGGCTAATGCAGATCCCTCTTTAGGAGACACAGGGCTTCTCTGAGGACCAGTCTTGGCTCAGGATTCCCTGAAGCCTTTTCTCACCCTTCCTTAGACTGTACATTACGCTCCAATGCTTCCACTCAACCTTCCTTTCCTCTTTCCTTCATTCTAGGTCAGACTTGCCTCATAGCTGAGACCTCTTCCAGGCTTACTCAGCTTCCTCTCCATTTTCTCTCACAGGGATTTCCCTTAATAAAATCCTCTTGTGTTTAACTCGTTTTCAACATCTACCTCTTGGAGGACCTGGACTAACCCACCACATAATGTTTGTATTATAATTACTTCCATTCTACAGGTTGAGAATCTGGGATCTGGAGAAGTTAAGCAACTTAAGTTACTCAAGTAAGGCCACACAATGTATATAAAGTGTGCTGCAAGGAGTTAAACCCAGGGAACGCACACTCCAAAACAGAACCATCAACAAGTACCAATCCTGAAACCAACTAATAAAAGGTAAAGATACAATTAGCTTGGTGCAAAATGTTATTTTTCTCTCTAATTACATTTTCTAAGGTTTCACTGTTTGTGATTAAGAAGGGAAGAATGATTTTCATCAAAACTCTGCTCAACAAGCCGGGTGTCGTGGCATGCACCTGTAGTCCCAGCTACTGAGGAAGCAGAGGCAGGGGGATCACGTGAGCCCAGGAGATTAAGGCTGCAGTGAGCTGTGATTACATCTCGTTGACCATGTGACCCTGAGTGTAACTCATAGACCTCAAGCCTGGGCAACAGAGCAAGACTCTGCCTTAAAAAGTAAAACTAAGCAAAACAAAACAATCCTGAACAAATGGTTGCACATAACCAGCTAAACAGTAATATAACAGTTGTTGGCAGGGTGAGAAGAAACTAGCAGACTGTAGGTTTGTCATACTGTTTTTTTGTTTCTCCAGAAACACAGATATAATATAGGCAATGAAAGCTGAGACTCATCTCTTAATTTCAGTTAAGCTATTAATTGATTTACATCATTTACTCACAGGTCAGAAAAGTTTCTTTCAAAAGGCAGGAATGTTGTTTCATGTTAATCTAAGGACTTGCTTACCTTTTGTTTCTGTTCTTAATGATCACAGTTACTAATACAGTTAAATAATATTTAGATAAAATACATTACAATTATAGCTGATCAAAAATCTCATTCCAAGCTGTTATATTGTTGACTATCTCATGATCACTCTTCTTATGAATCATGTAAATAGGGAAAAATACTGCAAAGTAGACCCACGTTACTTCAAATGAAATATGATTTAATAAAATCAGTTATTCTTTGCCAATTTTGTAATCTTCAAAATAACCACAATTGAAATAGTGATACATACACATCAGAACAGTTCAAATGAAAGAGAGAAATGATACCAAGTGTTGGCAAAGATGCGGAGCAACTAGAACTCTCTCCCATTGTGGATGGAAATGTAAACTGATGGACACCACCATTTTCCATGTATGCTAAATCTGACCATATTCTATGACCCTGAGCATATACCCAGCAATATTTACCAAAAGACAAATACATGAATGCTCAGAGAGGCACCATTCAAAATAACCACAAATTGAACTTATATTTGTATAATGATATAGTATATAGCAATGAGAACCTAACAAATTACAACTATATGCAAAAAGATTAACAAATCTTATAAACTAAATATTGAATGAAAGAAGCAAGATACAGAACATATACTACGATCTAATTCACTAAAAATTGTAAAACTCATCAGTTATGTTCCAAATCACCATAAGAGCTATCCTATGAAATAGTGTCTAGAAGAAGTAATAATATAAAATTTCCTGATTTGAGTACTGGATACACAGAAGGGCTAAGTTTGTTTAAAAACAAAAGAAGTATTGAGCTGTACAGTTAAGATTTGGGTATTTTACTGTTTGTATGTATTTTCAGCGTTAGAAAATTATGTTAAAAAGTCTTTATGCTCTTTTTCTTAATATATTTACAATAGACAAATTTTCATTAAGCCACAGTATAAATAAAAAAGACCCACACAGGTATTTTTAACATGGATGAAGTGGTTCTGTCATCATTAAATGAGTACTTTAGGATGCAAGTCTGATATAAAAACTTACTTCCCTGAAGACTTTAATTTTGCATGCAAAATACACGGTTTCTAAATTAAATTTTTTTGTAACAAAGCGTTTTTGAGTTCCCCTCATGAAATTTTAATAAATCATTAATTTCTTCTTTTTCTCTTTCATGCACAAGCAGTGGATAAACATTTCAAAGATCCCTACAGAAGTTTCTTCCCTTGAAATACTGTTCACATGACAATGAGAAGGATGGAATAAAACACAAAAAAGGTAAGCAATTTTTTTTTTTTTTTGAGGCGGAGTCTTGCTCTGTCGCCCAGGCTGGAGTGCAGTGGCGCGATCTCTGCTCACTGCAAGCTCCGCCTCCCGGGTTCCCGTCATTCTCCTGCCTCAGCCTTCGAAGTAGCTGGGACTACAGGCGTCCGCCACCGTGCCCAGCTAATTTTTTGTATTTTTAGTGGAGACGGGGTTTCACCGTGTTAGCCAGGATGGTCTCCATCTCCTGACCTTGTGATCTGCCCGCCTCGGTCTCCCAAAGTGCTGGGATTACAGGCTTGAGCCACTGCGCCCGGCCAACAGGCAAATTTTTCGTTGGGGAAGTAGTAGACCAACCATCTGTGCTTATTTCTTCTAAACAGAGCTGGGAATGAGTGACAGCAGTTGAACAGGAACACTTGCTCCCCAAGCACTACTTGTTTTTCATGAAGAAGGAAAAAAGGCAAAAGCCCTGCTACATTTACATTCGCAAAATTGTTTTCAAATGAGGATTAACAAGATGTTAGTTCCCTCTCTGTTGAACACATAAAATATTAAAAGGCAGTGCTAATACATCTATATACAGCACATCAGGAGGAAGGAGGAAGTCATTTCTCCTGACTTTACCAACTTGTCTTATTTGAAACTGATACCGTGCCCTATTGGCTGATAGGAGTTTCACTTTATTTAGAATACAATAGAATTTGGCTCAGATTCACACCAAAAGTATAGTATTTTGAGGTGCACTTACACGACTTCAGGGGAAAACAATATCTGGAATGTGACCCTGGAATTCATTACAAGTCAGTTAAAGGGATCTCTCTTAGAATTTTTTGATAATTGGACTGGGACAGGATGTAAGAATAAATCATTAACAGTAGATGAGGAAAACACTTGACGAGAGCTTTCTCGTCTTACCATTACTGCTCTTTCTATCAGAGGTTAAAGACAGAATGGGGACCATGTTGTGGTTGTTATTCTTGTTGTTTGATTGGTTTGTTTATTATGTTCTTGCATGACTTGGTTATGTGGCTGGATATGAAAATTCTTTCCATTTCCAGAGTCATAAATCTCCTAATTTCTAGGAGATTAAATACTGGTTTTATCTTTGGCTCCAGTAAAAATGTTGCTATCTTGGATTAAAAGAAGGTTGGGAAATACGTTGTGTCTATTCACCAGTGAATGGGAACCCCTTCTACAACAACAAATTTTCCATTCAAACCATTTCTAGGCCTCCCTTCCTGGTTCTGATAGCAAATGTGAAAGCAAGTACTAGAGATTTGGGTTTTGTAAGTTTCCTCAAATACTTGGGAAATACTGGATTCCGTTGCCAAGTGTTGCCTTTTGTACATTCAGCTTCTACACAGCACGTTTTCTCTATGTTGAAAGTCCTAATCCTTGAAATCTCAGAATGGAAAAGAGTTATATGACTAATTTTATGTGCCAGGATTATGGGAATAAACTTTCATGGAAGATAGGAAGCTTACAGGGCATTTAGAGAAAGGAGACATCTGTAGAATCAATTCAGAATGATTAAGCCCCTTGTGATCTCACTATCTCACTTCAATTGTTAAGCCACAAAACTCTTTTTAAGTTAATCTCTAACATTTATTTGGCTTTATAATTACATATAAATAATGTCTAAATTTGACACCTATGTTTCCAAACTTAATAATGAAGTCAAAATAAACAGAATTAAGGAGAGCTTATTACGATCTTTATTGTTATTTATATATAACAAATTTCCTATTAAGAATATAATATTTTATGATATCTTATGGATGTCATTAACATTGCTTTAATAAAGGTATTATCATGCTTTGTACAGCAACCAACACGAAAATGTTAGTATACCACTGCAATAAATAGAATAAAAACATGTTCAGAAAGACTTAGAAACTCATTAAAGAACGGACGTTAATCACTTTTCACCCTAACTCCTCATTTGGCAAGGCATGAATCTATGCATTCCAGTTTAGACAGGTGGCAAGTAAGTAGTCCCATTGCATTTCATAAAATAAGCAGCTGCGTGAATTTGAAAGATACTATTTCCACATGAAAAGCTAATGACTGCACATGTAAAATCAGTAGTGTTTAGGAAGCTGTCATTTAAAAAACAACAAACTACCTAATTAAAAAGTAGCACAAATGAACTTTTGCCTATGTAAAAAATAGAACATTGCTTAGCCTTTTCTTAAACCCCTCCCCAATTCTTACCAAGAAAGGATAAATACCTTTATTATAGTCAAAGCTCTGTTTTTATGGTTTTTGAATTTTTTAATCTAAAATTCAAAGCAAATAATCAATCTTTAATTTATATTTATCCCAGTTTGATTCAAAGTGACGGTCCAAAAGTAAAATGATCAATTATAACTATAATCAATCACAAATAATGCTATGTGAGTTTGAAATGTTAATCTAAGTTGCCTTTTCCAGGTATGCGTTTTAAAATTAAACTCTTCTCAGTAAGATCAAGGCTATCCTTCATGGATTTATGATGTTTGATAATCACCACGTTGTACTGATTTGCTGTCTCACTTCACTGTTTGATATCAACATATGAAAGTAAAAATGCTATTTAGGGGATAACTATTATCTGAGCACTAATAAATTAAATGCTATTTTAAGCCAACAACAAAATTGTTTAGGGTACAATTTTTATTTAACCAACTGTCCATTATAAACATTATAAAATTCTGAAAGATCCTAGAATCTTATATAGCTTTTTTGTATTTTTTCAAATGTAGTTGACACCAGCATGAATTAAATTTCATATTTAAAAAGCTTCTGACTACATTACAACATACTTTAAAATTACTTGCAAGATATGATAATTCTAAGATTACCCACATATCATGCAAATGAAACAGCCAGGTACTTCCTACCAACACATGATACAATAAAATCCAGAAGAACTTCTGAATTAGAGTGTAGTAGTTGCCTAGGGCCATCATACCTAATTATCACACACTTGGTGGGTTAAGAGGACAGAAATATATTCTCTCATAGTTCGGAAGCCTGGACCTCTGAAATCAAGATGTTGGCGGGGCCACACTCCCCCTGAAGACCCTAGGGAAGAATTCTCCCTCGCTTCTTCCTGGCTTCCAGTGGCTCCTGGCAATCCTTGACCTTCTTTGATTTATGACTGCATAACTCCAATTTCTGTCTCCATCTTCACATGACCTTGTGTGTGTCTTTTCCTGTATGTTATAAGGACATTTACACTGGATTTAGGGCCCACCTTCACCCAGGATGACCTCATCTCAATCACTGGGTTAATTATATCTGCAAAGACCCTACTTCCAAATAAAATCACATTCTAAAGTTCCTAATGGACATAAATTTTGGAGGTACGGTATTTAAATCACTACACAGAACATGTAAAGACAAAAATCTGGAAGCTACCTGAATGAAAATGGATATTCCCTTGAACTTCGACAAAATCATATTCTATTTTTCCATGAGAAACATTTTATTACTCTAAAACAATATTCATATTTCACAAGTACGCCTCTTAAATTATAGCTTGGACTTAAGAAAAATAATTAGCTTTGGAAATTATCAGTACATGATATCTAGTATTTCCTATATTTTTAAGAACTTCTACCTCCTAGCAAAAATAAACAATGCAATGGATAATTTCTGTGTTCTAAATTCACACACACAAACAGGAAAGGGACGTTAAAAATGATTTGTTCTCTTTTAAAGCAGAAGCCCAACCACCTGCTCTGAATCAAAAAGTTTCCTGAAAGCAATGAAGGGCTAGTTTATTATGAAGGTGTTGATAGCTGATTCTGTGGAGACTCACACAGAAACAAAGAATAAATTTTAATCACACTTAATGCTAATGTGGTAGTAAGGTTGTGACAATATTCAAATATGACTAATTTCATTGAATTAACTACACTCGGGCTTAGCTTAGTTGTCCAAATTTATTACAAATAGCTCAAACTAAATAATTCAACTCTTCTGTTTTCTATTTATTTTTTGTTGATGCTTAAGAGTAAAAAGATATTTCAACTGAATTTTTTTTTTTTTTTTTAGCAATCAGTTCTCTTGTTTTATCACCATAAGACTGTAAACGGCCGTAACAGGTCACTGAATCTAGCACTGCCTTCAACAAGAAATGCACCTAGAGCAGGAATATAGTACTTGGCACTCATCTCTAGACCTATAACCTAACAGATTTTTTTTTTGTCTGTCTTTGGTGAAAGTAACGTAAATTTAGAGCTGGAAAGGACCTTAGAGGTCATCTAGTCCCACCCAAGCATCTTTGAAAACAAAATAAAGACGTGTGTTGGCCTGATGCGGTGGCTCACGCCTGTAATCCCAGCACTTTGGGAGGCCAAGGCGGGCAGATCACAAGGTCAGGAGATCGAGACCATCCTGCCTAACATGGTGAAACCCCGTCTCTACTAAAAATACAAAAAATTAGCCGGACATGGTGGCAGGTGCCTGTAGTCCCAGCTACTCGCGAGGCTGAGGCCGGAGAATGGAGTGAACCCAGGAGGCAGAGCTTGCAGTGAGCCGAGATCGTGCCACTGCACTCCAGTCTGGGCAATAGAGTGAGACTCCGTCTTAAAAAAAAAAAAAAAAAAAAAGAAGCATGTTTATTTCATCATTTTGTACTTATACACTGTGTATTTCCAGAAAAGCCCCTGAGACAGCTTAGAATGAAAGGCACAGACACTATAAAACAAGCGCAAAATGACAGAATAATGAAGAGAAAGAGGTGACAATTACATGGGACAACCTAGGGAAGGAAACACTACCCTTCAGCCTAAAATTTAGTCCTAAGCCCCTTGTTCTTAAAGGCCAAAAGGAAAACCAGAATTCAAATAGGTATTGTTAGTTAATAAAATAGTATCTGGATATATCAGCAACTATTTTTTGGTAACTCTAAACTCAAGCAAAATATATGTCTTTAAGCAACAGACAATGGACAATATAATAAAAATAATCTTCCATAGCAATTTCCAAACTTTTAAAGATGTAAGAACAAATGATCTTTTCTTACAGGATGCTTAGTTGAAAGCTGCCCGCATGATGGTATTTTAAACTACATGATGTTAAATTCCCTGCATGATGGTATTTTATTGGGACCTGGTTATATGATTTGGTGAAGAATGTAACCTTTGAGAACTTAGAAGAGTGAATGGTTAATATTTCTCTGAATTTTTTTGTTTTTAATTGATATTTTATTTTATCCCTCATAGACAATATATGTCTGGGAAATACACTGAAGTATAGTAAAAAAGAATCTAAGGGTTAAAGTGTTGAGGTAAATGAGAAAGCAGAGGTTGTGTCTGAAGAACCGTGTGGTCGCACTGCACCACACAGCAAACAGAAATATGGGTGAGCACAGGCCGGGCGCGGTGGCTCAGGCCTGTAATCCCAGCACTTTGGGAGGCCGAGGAGGGCGGATCACGAGGTCAGGAGATCGAGACCATCCTGGCTAACACGGTGAAACCCCGTCTCTACTAAAAATACAAAAAATTAGCCGGGCCTGGTGGTGGGCGCCTGTAGTCCCAGCTACTCGGGAGGCTGAGGCAGGAGAATGGCGTGAACCCGGGAGGCGGAGCTTGCAGTGAGCCGAGATCGGGCCACACCACTCCAGCCTGGGGGACAGTGAGACTCCGTCTAAAAAAAAAAAAAAAAGAAGTTCACCCTATGCAGGCACTATAACTACGAGTCCCTCCCATCTGAGCCTTGCCTTCCAGACAACCCCACCAATACATAAGACAGAAAAAAAGCACCTTGCACCTTCCAGACTGACTTGTTTGCCAGCCGCATAGCACTGAGTCACCCTAGTTAATGATATGAGAGAGGAAGAATCACTCAGACGAATCCTGCTGGAATTTCTCACCTATAGGATCCATGAGATACAATGAAGTGGTCGTTGTTTTACCTTATTAAATTTGGGGTAGTTTCTTTTTTCTTTTTTTTTTCTTTTTTCTTTTTTTTTTTTGAGACGGAGTCTCACTCTGTGGCCCAAGCTGGAGTGCAGTGGCGCAATCTCGGCTCACCGCAAGCTCCGCCTCCCGGGTTCACACCATTCTCCTGCCTCAGCCACCCGAGTAGCTGGGACTACAGTCACCCACCACCACGCCCGGCTAACTTTTGTATTTTTAGTAGAGACGGGGTTTCACCGTGTTAGGCAGGATGGTCTCGATCTCCTGAACTCGTGATCCGCCCGTCTCAGCCTCCCAAAGTGCTGGGATTACAGGCGTGAGCCACAGCGCCCGGGCCATTTGGGGTAGTTTCTTAAGCAGCAATAGTAACTGTAACACTGACTCACTTCTACTGCCACCAATCACTATCCTCCTTTCCTGATTTACTTCCTCGTATGTACCATCTTTTAAAAAACAAATAATTAGGCCGGGTGCAGTGGCTCACGCCTGTAATCCCAGCACTTTGGGAGGCTGAGGCGGGCGGATCACGAGGTCAGGAGATCGAGACCATCCTAGCTAATATGGTGAAACGCCATCTCCGCTAAAAATACAAAAAATTAGCCAGGCGTGGTGACCGGGGCCTGCAGTCCCAGCTACTCGGGAGGCTGAGGCAAGAAAATGGCGTGAACCCGGGAGGCGGAGCTTGCAGTGAGCTGAGATCGCGCCACTGCACTCCAGCCTGGGCGACAGAGGGAGAGTCCGCCTCAAAATAATAATAATAATAATAATTAGTGAAAACTTCAATAACTTTTGCACCGGCCTAATAGTTGTAAAGAAACTATAAGCAAGTTCACAAAAGTTAAAACAAAAAATCAGCTATGAGAAGCAAATATGAATTATACCACTAACTGCTGAAAAGAAAGACTCTAAGACTGAAATTACCAAAAAAAAAAACCCTCAGCTGAAAACAAAACAAATAATCAAACTCTATTACTCTACTCTATTTCCATGAAGCGTACAAACTGTTCCTGTAAGTTTAACGATATTAAAATGTACAAAGATTAATAAAGTAAAAATCAAAGACTATTTATAACATCATCGATTTCACATAAAGTAGAATTTTAAAGGAAAAGGTATCCCATGGAAAACAATAAAATATTTAATATTACAAAGCAAAACACTAAATGAACGTCACATTTAATTGTGAAATCATTAGCATGTTTCTCCGTTATGACTTATTAAAGGATAAAATTTGAGCAATATAATGTATAAGACTTTTTGGCCGGGCGCGGTGGCTCACGCCTGTAGTCCCAGCACTTTGAGAGGCTGAGGCGGGCGGATCACGAGGTCAGCAAATCCAGACCATCCTGGCTAACACGGTGAAACCCTGTCTCTACTAAAAAAATACAAAAAAATTAGCCAGGCGTGGTGGCGGGCACCTGTAGTCCCAGCTACTTGGGAGGCTGAGGAATGGCGTGAACCTGGGAGGCGGAGCTTGCAGTGAGCCCAGATTGCGGCACTGCACTCCAGCCTGGGCAAGAGAGTGAGACTCCCAATCCAAAAAAAAAAGAAAAGAAAAGAAAAGAAAAACCGACTTTCATTAAAGCCTCCTGCAGAAATTTGCATAAGTAACAAGGAGCCAAATGTAATCACCAAGACAATGGGGAAAATGTCTCCAGAACATTAAAGACCTTAACACCTTCACGGCAGCTCTTTCCATCACAGGCTCAAAAGCCTAGTATGGAAAAATGATTTCCTGGAGCAGGTCCAGGTCCCCCTGCTGTGTGCAGCCTTGAGACTTGGTGCCCGGCATTCCAGCCACTCCAGCCATGGCTGGGGTGGGAGACACCAGGCTACAGCTCAGGCCATGTCTTCGGAGGTTGCAGCCCCAAGCCTTGGCAGCTTCCACAAGATGTTGAGCCTGCAGGCGCACAGAAGTCAAGAATTGAGGTTTGGGACCCTCCACCTAGATTTCAGAGAATGTATGGAAACACTTGGATGTTCAGGCAGAAGTTTGCTCTGGTGGGGTGCGGGGGCAGGAGCAGGGGCTCATGAAGAACCTCTTCCAGGGTAGTAGAGAATTGAAATGTGGGCTCTGTCTCCCATACAGAGTCCCTACTGGGGCAATGCCTAGTGGAGCTATGAGAAGAGGGCCGCTGCCCTCCAAACCCCCAATTGGTAGATCCACAAACAGTTTACACTGTGTACCTGGAAAAGCCACAGACAATGCCAGCCAGTGAAAGCAGCCAGGAGGGAGGCTGTACCCTGCAAAGCCACAGAGGCAGAGCTGCCCAAGGCCATGGGAGACCACCACTTGCGTCAGTGTGACCTGCATGTGAGACACGGAGTCAAAGGAGATCATTTTGGAACTTTAACGTTTAATGACTGCCCTATTGGATTTCAGACTTGCATGGAGCCTGTAGCCCCTTTGTTTTGACCAATGTCTCCCATCTGGAACAGGTGTAGATACACTGGGGGTACCCAATGCCTGTACCCCCATTGTATGTAGGAAGTAACTAACTTGCTTTTAGTTTTACAGGCTCATAGGTGGAAGGGACTTGTCTCAGATGAGACCTTGGACTGTGGACTTTTCAGTTAATGTTGAAACGAGTTAAAACTTTGGGGGACTGTTGGGAAGGCATGATTGATTTTGAAATGTGAGAACATGAGATTCAGGAGGCGCCAGGGGAAGAATGATATGGTTTGGCTATGTCCCTACCCAAATCTCATCTTGAATTGTAGCTCCCATAATCCCCATATGTCATGAAAGGGACCCAGTGGGAGGTAACTGAATCATGGGGATGGGTTTCTCCCTGTGTTGTTCTTGTGAAACCGAATAAGTCTCACAAGATCTGATGGTTTTATAAAGGGGAGTTCCCCTGCACATGCTCTCTCTCTTGCCTGCCACCATGTAAGACATGTCTTTGCTCCTCCTTTGCCTTCTGCCATGATTGTGAGGCTTCCCCAGCCACGTGGAACTGAGTCCATTAAACCTTTTTTTCTTTATAAATTACCCAGTCTCAGGTATTTCTTCATAGCAGTATGAAAGTGGACTAACACAGTATCAAACCCTGGTTTGGGGTAATAATCACTACCTTCTAGGTAACCAGAATGGAAAAAATATAACAGAAAAAAAATCCTAAAAATCATCCTGCGTACAAGAAAAATGAAACTGTATGCTGAATTCTCAGGGGGAGAAAACGTATTTAAAAATATATGACTTTCAAACCACAAGAAACTATAGACCATTGCTTTAAACTATTTGTCTATGAACAGTATGTAGAAACACATGGAATTTAGGAAATAGGAGATGAAGGCTACAATAACAAAAGAGGCTCATATCACAAAATGGGAGATAGCTGAGATGAGGCTTCTATGAAAACTAAAGTGCAAGGGCAGATTTTCCATCCACAGGGAAATCCGTGGAGAAAGAAACTGACACACTGAAAAGTTCAAGCAGCAATTGAATCAGAGCTCTGGAGGGCAAAGGAAGAGATGAACTAATGACAGAGAAGAAGGCGGATGGGTATGCCAGAGACCACAGGTTCCACCTCGAGAATAGTTTGTGTACTGGGGAAAGACACAAGGGCAAGGAGATCTGAAACAATAATCAAAGCTATCACTGAAGTACGAATAATAAAAGCACCAACCAGCTTCTAGGCAGGGAGGGGGAAGAAACAAGGAAGAGTTCTCCATATTTAAATAACAACTAGCCAAACTCCTGAATTTTACAAATAAATAAAAAAACTTCCTTAAAAATAAAAAGTCAGGCTTAGATAAGACTTTTTTTCTTCTCTGTTAACATTATTAGAAGACATAAAGATTTTAAGAGAATAAAAATATGATCAAGAGGATCATAAATATCAGGTTGTCTTTACCTGAGTACGAAGCAATGGCATCTGTATATCCAGCACTGATTTGTCCTTCCAATAAAAATTTACTCAAAGACATATGGGTACATATTAGAAAAATAATCAAAATTAATATTTCAAGGATTAGGAAGTTGTGAAGCCAAAATCCTGCAAGGGGACAATTGATTCAGTTAATGGAAAGATTTATTTTTCATATTTTATGATTATTTACCAAAATAATATTTTTAAAGTATAATTATAAAATAAAAATAAAATATTTAACAATACTATAATTATAATCATGTTCCAAGTTATAAAACAAGATAGTGAGAATTGTCAGTAAGATAGTAAGAATTCTAATACTATCTCAAAATAAAGGATACAGAAGGTTTCAGGGCAAGAGAAAGGGAAAACCTTCTATATCCTTTAGTTTGAGATAGTATTAAAGCTTTCTGTAGGCTCACTCAAAATGTCCGGATTCTGACCACATTTGAATGAGCACTCCCAACCTGACGATTCCTAGTCTAAGCCACACATATTTCCTCTTATGGTTATTGCAAAAGCTCCCTAACTGGTCTCCCAGCTTCTGCCGTTGATTCCTTTCAGCTATTTTTTACACAAGTGCCAGAGAAATCTCAGAAATGCAATTCAGATGATATCACTTCTTTGCTTATATCTTTCAATGTTGTTCCCCTCTACGTGTTCATGTATTCTCCCCTTTGACTCTCGCTTCTAAGTGGGAACATTTGGTTTTCTGTTCCTGCATTAGTTGGCTAAGGATAATGGCTTCCAGCTCCATCCATGTTCCTACAAAGGGCGTGATCTCATCTTTTATGGTGGCATAATATGCCATGGTGTATATATACCACATTTTCTTTATCCAGTCTACCATTGATGGGCATTTATGTTGATTCCATGCCTTTGCTACTGTGAATAGCGCTGCAATAAACATATGCATGCATGTGTCTTTATGACAGAACAATTTATATTCCTTTGGGTGTATACCCAGTAATAGGATTGCCGGGTCGAATGGTAGTTCTTTTAGGTCTTTGAGGAATCACCACACTGTCTTCCACAATGGCTGAACTAATTTACACTCCCACCAACAGTGTAGAAATGTTGCCTTTTCTCCACAATATTGCCAGCATGTTATTTTTTGGCTTTTTAATAATAACCATTCTGAATGGTGTGAGATAGTATCTCATTGTACTTCTGATGTGCATTTCTTTAATGATCAGTGATGCTGAGCTTTTTTTCTATGTTTGTTGGCTGCATGTATGTCTTATTTTGAAAAGGAGGGTGAAAGCTGGGAGGAGGGAGAGGATCAGGAAAGACAACTAGTGGGTAGCAGGTTTACCATGTGGGTAACAGAATAATCCGTACAACAAACCCCCATGACACAAGTTTACCTACATAACAAACCTGCACGTGTACCACTGAACTTAAAAGTTAAATTTAAAAAATAAAAAATAAAAAAATCTTTCAATGGTCCCATGTCAGTTTGAGGAACAGCCAAAGTCCTTAAAATGACGTACAAGGTGCTCGTTCCATCATCCGTCTTCTCATGTTTATTTCTCTGCCACCATCTACTAATACTCTTCCCCCTTCTCATTCTACTCCAGCTATAATGGCTTCCTCGATGCTGTTCTAAGAATAAGTCCACATGATTCCGACTCAGGGCTTTTGCCCAAGCTGTGGTCTCTCTTTGGAATGCTCTTTTTTCAGCAGAGCACGATTCCTCCTCATTTCCTTCAAGAAGTCTGTCGCCAAATGCCTTCTACCTGGTGTGTAATTGTCATGTGTGGCAGTTTTAAACATAGTCCAAAAACAGGTTGATATTCTTCTCATCAAAAAATAGGTCTATGTCTCCCTTCCCTAAATCTGGACGTGCTTGTGACTGCTACAATCAATAGAGTATGACAAATAATTCTACCTGACCTTTAAGGTGAGATAAAAAGAGACCAGGCCTTTTCCACCTGGTTCCCTTGGAGTGTTTGATCTGCGGAAAGCCAGCAGCCATATAAGAAGTTTACCCTGTGCAGGCCGGGCGCGGTGGCTCAGGCCTGTAATCCCAGCACTTTGGGAGGCCAAGGCGGGTGGATCACGAGGTCAGGAGATCGAGACCATCCTGGCTAACACGGTGAAACCCCGTCTCTACTAAAAATACAAAAAAATAGCTGGGCCTGGTGGTGGGCGCCTGTAGTCCCAGCTACTCGGGAGGCTGAGGCAGGAGAATGGCGTGAACCCGGGAGGCGGAGCTTGCAGTTAGCCGAGATCGGGCCACACCACTCCAGCCTGGGGGACAGTGAGACTCCGTCTCAAAAAAAAAAGAAAAAAAAAAAGTTTACCCTGTGCAGGCACTATAACTAAGAGTCCTTCCCATCTGAGCCTTGCCTTCCAGACAACTCCACCAATTTATAAGACAGAAAAAAAGCACCTTGCACCTTCCAGACTGACTTGTTTGCCAGCCGACTAGCACTGAGTCACCCTAGTTAATGATGTGAGAGAGGAAGAATCACTCAGATGAATCCTGCTGGAATTTCTCACCTATAGGATCCATGAGATATAATGAAGTGGTCGTTGTTTTACCTTATTAAATTTAGGGTAGTTTCTTTTTTCTTTTTCTTTTTTTTAATTTTTTTTTTTTTGAGACGGAGTCTCCCTCTGTCGCCCAGGCTGGACTGCAGTGGCGCGATCTCGGCTCACAGCAAGCTCCGCCTCCCGGGTTCACGCCATTCTCCTGCCTCAGCCTCCCGAGTAGCTGGGACTTAAGGCGCCCACCACCACCAGGCCAGGCTAACTTTTGTATTTTTAGTAGAGACAGAGTTTCACCGTATTAGGCAGGATGGTCTCGATCTCCTGAACTCATGATCCGCCCGTCTCAGCCTCCCAAACTGCTGGGATTACAGGCGTGAGCCACGGCACCCAGGCCATTTGGGTTAGTTTCTTAAGCAGCAATAGTAACTGTAACACTGACTCACTTCTACTGCCACCAATCACTATCCACTTTTCCTGATTTACTTCTTCCTATGTACCATCTTTTAAAAAACAAATAATTAGGCCGGGCTAAGTGGCTCACGCCTGTAATCCCAGCACTTTGGGAGGCTGAGGCGGGCGGATCACGAGGTCAGGAAATCGAGACCATCCTGGCTAACACGGTGAAACTCTGTCTCCACTAAAAATACAAAAAATTAGCTGGGCGTGGTGGTGGGTGCCTGCAGTCCCAGCTACTCGGGAGGCTGAGGCAGGAGAATGGCGTGAACCCAGGAGGCGGAGCTTGCAGTGAGCCCAGATGGCGCCACTGCACTCCAGCCTGGGCGACAGAGCGAGACTCCGTCTCAAAAAAAAAATAAAAATAAAAAATAAATAAAAAAAGATTTTTAATATATATATACAAGAATATGTGAAACAGTATGTTTTCAAGTTTCCATTGAATATTTTAAAAATAGATTATATAAAACCTCAATATATTTTTTAAAATAAAAACCACACAGGTCACATTACCTACTCAAAATTTAATTACATTAGAAATTAAGACAAAGTTAAAACAGGACAACCAGCACCCCTAGTATCACCCTCCTCAGAGTATTTAAAAATAGATTCCTTTAAATTATCTCTTTTTTTACAAGAATAAAATCTAATCAATTATTAGAAAGATAATCTCAAACTGAACTCAAAAGAAGAAGCAAAGCATCTTCAAAGTCAATAAGGGTGCTATAAATGCTTCTTGGACTCTGAAACTCTCTGACTTCCCATTCTACTCTCAGTTGTAGAAAACTCCCTGATTGTTAGGTTTTGGTGTGATTAGGTTAGGTTTACCCAGGTACTCCCCCCGTCTTAAGGCTGACGGATTATTAGCCTTAGTGACATGTGCAAGACTCCTTTGCCGTGTGAGGTATCAACAGGGTAACATGAGGAAATGAAGGTCATAGGGGCTATCTTAGACTTCTTCCTGCTACAACCTCTATTCACTTATTTTGAATCCTCAGAGTTTAATGAGCTCCTACTATGTTCTAGGTCCTTGCAATAGGAGTACAGCAGTGAACAAGACAAACATGGTTCTGGTCCTTGGAGTACAAAGTAAATGCTGAAAATTTAATAAATGGGTCAGTAGATAGATAGATGTATAAAGGTCTAAATGCACATTCAGAAAATAGCAGGAGAAGACTGAGACTCAGTATTATTGAATATGCTTTAAAGGCCCATGTGTCGTCTTGAATGAAAATGTTGCTCAATTTCTGATGAGGAGACTAATTCATCAATATCTGTTATCATTGACTGATGACCTCACATAATAAAAGATCTTGACTTGAGTGTACGTTAATAATCAACATAATGGGTAATGTATCAAAAGAGTATATGGAAGATAATAAAAAGATATAAATTGAAATCTTAAACAGTTTTGTGCTAAAATATGTTTAGAATTGCTTGAACCCAGGAGGCGGAGGTTGCAGTGAGCTGAGATTATGCCACTACACTCCAGCCTGGGCAACAAGATCCAACCTCCGTCTCAAACAAACAAACAAACAAACAAACAGAAACAACCCAAACAAACACAAAAAATTACTATAATTGTATCTCTTTTGACTATAGCCTGGAAGAAATCACTCTCTCCCCAACTTAAGGAAGGGGAGACTTATCTCTAGCCAAGCTTTGAGTATAAACATATAAAAAGTAATTTTCATTTTCTTGAAACTGACTGCATGAAAAGGCATATGGTGTTCCCAAAAAATGTCTGATGAGTGAGAATATTAAAATGACTAAACTGATGGGACATATTTAATTTAATATTTAAACTTGATAAAAAATAGTTAAGCATTTAACTCAAGAATTTCAAAATGGTACAGCAAAGCATACAAGCAAAATTAAAAGGAATGCTAATTACATATTAAGTTAGAAGGCAATAAATTATAAACAAAAACAGTAACAATTTATAAACATACACAAGTTCATTCTTTAACAAATAACCCATGATACAGAAAAATACAGCAAATGTGATAAAACAAAAACTGAGAAAACATAAAATTTAAAGTGAAAAAAAAAACAAAACATGCAGAAATTGTTTTAAAGACAAAAAATACTATCTTAGAAAATTAAATACGTGTTTCACTAAAATAAACATGTACTGCTTAAATGAATCTTAATTTAATTTTAAAAATAGTAAATAGGTTGCAGGCATCAATGTTTGCAAGAAATGTAAAACATTATTTTAAAAATTTTTATTAAAGTCCCTATAACCAGTGTTTTTAATAAGCATCTGTTTAAAACATCTTGTAAAATGGACCCCAGACTAGGAAATATGGATAAAGTTATAAAAAGTGGCTTCCTTTCAGTTCATTTTACAAAGCAAATATAACTATTACTAACTCTTGATGAAGTGAATACAAAAAGAATAAAATTACTAAACAGTATCCCTTATAAACATAGTTAAAATATTCTTAACTGAAAGAAAAAGGAACTGAATTCTACACTTACTAAGAAATCACCCACCCCAGTGATTTGGCATACAAAGATTTAATACTAGAAAATATGTATTAATATAATGCAACACAACAATAAAGCTATTTACCTTATATTGTACATTTACTGCTACAGACTAAATGTTTACATCCCTCTCAAATTCATATGTTGAAATGCTAACCGCCAGTGTGAGGGTTTTTGAAGGTGGGGCTTTTGGGAACTAATTAAGTCATGAGAGAGCAGCCCTCATTAATGGGTTTAGCACCCTTCTAAAGCAGCCCCCTGAACTCCCTTGCTCCTTCCCCAACTGAGGTTATAGAGAAAGGGCAGCCTTCTTTGAACTAGAACAAAAGTTTTTCCCAGACACCAGATTGGCTAGTACCTTGGTCTTAGATTTCCCAGACCCCAGAACTGTGAGAAATTCCTTTCTGTTGTTTATAAGCCACCAAGTCTATGGTATTCTGGTACAGCAGCCCATTTTTGATATTTATTTAATGATATTTAACATGCATGACTGATGAAATTTAACAAAGTAGTTATAGATATGTCCTTACCATGATTAAAAATAACTCTTAAATTGATGCATACTTTTATTATCTAGTTCTAGCCAAAGCCATAAGATGAAAACACAAATAAGAAACCACCTATATGGCACATGTATACCTATATAACAAACCTGCATGTTCCGTGCATGTATCCCAGAACTGAAAATCATATTTTAAAAAAATTTATTTATATAGAAAAAAAGAGAGCAAATGATATTTTTCAAAAACTGATAATTTAATTATGGTAAGTTCTGTGTGATATGTGCCTGATATGTGTGATATGTGTCTGATGTGATATGTGTGAGATGAAAAACACTAAGGGGGTATGTGATTTTGGGCATTCATGTGCCCATAAATCCTTGTTAGAATTAAAATATCACATTAAACCTCTCTCTTTCTTTTAATGTCCATGGTTTCTTTTATATGTTTTAGTAAGTGACACAGAGGAAAATACCGAGCGGACACCGTTTCTAAATTGGTAAACTGCCCTGAACTGCCACTTTACTCTTTTCTACAGCAAGTGTGGAAGATTAGAGTTCAGGCAAACATGTCATGTAAGTGGTGAAGATTCCCTTTTTCCACTGGGACAGCAGTAGAACTGAAGGGAAATCAGACAACAGCTACCTCAGCAGGAGAGCCTCAATGATGACACTTTTGCCTCAACAGTGGAAGCTGGTAGTTTCCAAAAATAGAGCTAAAAAGTGAATCAAGTTTTAAAGCACATTGAAAGTCACACGTAAAATTCATTATTACAGAAAAGCTATAAACCAATCACAGTAAATGAGTGAATTTAGAAATTAAATTTTAATATGAAAGGTTCATGTTGTCAAAACTGACTATGTTAGTCCATCTCAATGCTATAAAGGAATACCTGAGACTGGGTAATTTATAAAGAAAAGAGGAGTATTTGGCTGATGGTTTGCAGGCTGTACAAACAGGCCACCAGTATCTGCTCAGCTTCTGCTGAGGCCCGGGAAGCTGACAATCATGGCTTAAGGCAAAGGGGGAGCTGGCATATTACATGGGGAGAGAGGGAGCAAGGGAGATGCCAGGCTCTTTTAAACAACAAGATCTCTCGTGAATTCATAGAGCAAGAACTCACTCATTACCGGGAGGACAGCACAAAACCATTCATGGGGATCCACCCTTGGGAAACAAACACCTATTACTAGGCCCACCTCCAACACTGGAGGTCGCATTTCAACATGAGATTTGGAGGGGACAAACCATCCAAACCATATCACTAACGGAAAGTGATTGTTTAAATTGCTGTATTCAGTCCCTTGGCCTTTTTGAGAAATGCCATTCATTTCAGCCATCAAGCAAATTATTATTTGAGACATTTATACCTCTTCATCCTTTAAAAGTTTCAGAAGCATGAATTTAAAAAGTATTCATTGTAAATTTGAGGCTAGTCAAATTGATGTGGCATCTAAGTAGCACGGTGACGGGATGAGGAGACAAAGTCACGAGGGGAGGTAGGAAGAAGCAGAGAGAAAAAGAGAAATAGGAAGAGAGAAAAAGAAATGAGAGAGTATAAGAAAAATGAAGAAAGAGGAAAAGAAAAATGGTTTAAATGAGAGGCAAATGTCATCTGATGTTTTACCATGGGGCCATAGGGTATTTGAAGTTTCAGAAAATTCATAAGTTATTAAAAAATGTGACTCTAGGGTAGTGAGGTTATAACTTGTAAGAAAACAAGAAGTGATTCCTTTTAAGAGAACCTTCTTGGCCGGGTGCTGTGGCTCACGCCTGTAATCCCAGCACTTTGGGAGGCCGAGGCGGGTGGATCACGAGGTCAGGAGATCGAGACCATCCTGGTTAACACAGTGAAACCCCGTCTCTACTAAAGATACAAAAAATTAGCTGGGCGCCGTAGCGGGCACTTGTAGTCCCGGCTGCACGGGAGGCTGAGGCAGGAGAATGGCGTGAACCCGGGAGGCGGAGTTTGCACTGAGCAGAAATCGCGCCGCTGCACTCCAGCCTGGGGAACAATGGGGAACAAAGCAAGACTCCGTCTCAAAAAAAAAAAAGAAAAAAAAGAAAAAAGAAAAAGAGGAACTTCTTAAAGATGCGGTTGTCTTTCTTATGCTTCCTTTAGCTCTTTTTTACCTCTCCACGGATACAGATTTTTATACCAAATAGCTGGCATTAGCTAAACCAATGTCTAGGAGAACTGATCCTCACGAAGGAAAATCATAATTTATTATTTTTTTAATTCATGGCATTTATTTGTACAAGAAATATATTTCTATTTAAGAGAAAGTAGAAAACAAAGGAGAACAGAAACAACTTTTTTTTTTTTTTTTTTTTGAGACAGAATCTCGCTCTGTCGCCCAGGCTGGAGTGCAGTGGCACGATCTCAGCTCACTGCAAGCTCTGCCTCCCGGGTTCACGCCGTTCTCCTGCCTCAGCCTCCCGAGTAGCTGGGACTACAGGCGCCCGCCACCACGTCCGGCTAATTCTTTTGTATTTTTAGTAGAGACGGGGTTTCACTGTGTTAGCCAGGATGGTCTTGACCTCCTGACCTCGTGATCCGCCCGCCTCAGCCTCCCAAAGTGCTGGGATTGCAGGCGTGAGCCACAGCGCCCGGCCGAAAAAACTTTTTAAAATTTGTTTGGGGATCTCCCATATTTGCCAAAGTAATCCCACAAAAACAATTAACATTTGACTTTGAAAATTAAGACAAAAAATACAATGATGAATATTTTCTTGTAAAAGCAAAGACAGTAAAAATATTCAGATTTAAAATAAGCCTGAGAAAAAGCATGATTTCCTTGAGCTTACCTAAGTAAACTTATTTACAAGTGACTGTATCAATAATTAGCAAAAGTAAAAGTCATTATGAAATCCTCCAAATCTTTCAAAGTAAAGTACTATCTTACATTCAAGCATTGAGTTTGCCCATAAAATTATTTAAGCTCAACCTTTTCCTCAATCTCCAAAACTCTGGCGTGTAACTACACAAACACTTCAATAGGGGACAGAATCTCCTTTTATCATTCATTCTACCAAACATCAACTTCATAAGAATTAGAATCAAGTGTAATAAGAATGAACTATATAGAATCATTGATATAAATTTATAGGTGTTCAGACATAACCTTTAGACATATTTGTCAGTGTACATGTAAACAATACTCAATAACTTCTTTAATAGAGTTCTCCAGAGAAACAGAACCAATTGGATGTGGGTATATAACTCAGTTATATATTTCATCAGCTTCCTTTTTATGTAATAGAAACTAACTACAGCTAATGATGAATTTTTTTCATTCATTCATCATTAAAAGGGGAGAGAGAAATCCAGGCTGGGTTTGTGCCATTTTTCTTCCCTCACAGTTCTCTTCTTGCTGCATGATTCTTCCTTTCAGATATTAACCAGAAGGAATGGTTAGCCTGACTATAGCTCTAGAGGAGCAACACAGGCTCTGGATAATGAGGATGCACAGGCTTTAATCAGTCCTAGCAGGAGGTCTTGGCTTAGACAACTATGTAGTTGATGGTATCCCTATAGGAAAAAAAAAAATATATATATATATGTTTTTGTGGTAGCAGGACAGAGTCAGTTTCAGACATTTGTTCAACAACTGTTGGTGTTCAACATATATTAGTATTTTGCACTAGGTACTATGTGCTAAAAGTATAGTAAGGAATAAAAATAGGGAAATAAACAAAAACAAAATAAAGAAACAGAGAAAATTCCTATTACCCTTTAGGAAAAACAACATAAAATAAAGTAACAGAATCTAGAAATAGAGAATAACAAGATAGAAGCCTACTATATACCACCATTATCAACCTGTCAAAATAAACATTGTCAGTAATGAGACAAAATGGAATCATGTACCACCTGATAGGATGCAATGAAAAAAACGCAGCATCAATTCTGTGATATTCTTGCCAAAATGCATTGCCTGACTCTAGTCACAAGGAAACCTCAGAAAACCTAAAGGGAGCCATTCAAAAAAGAAGGAAGGGAAAAGGAAAAAGTAAGGGAAAGAGGAGAGGAGAAGGAAGGGGAGGGGGAAGGGAAGGGGAGAGGGAAGAGAAAAAGGAAGGGGAAAGCGAAGGAGAAAGGAAAGGAGAAAAGGAAGGAGAAGCAAAGCAAAGGAAAAAAAGAAGAAAATATGGGCCAGAAATCTTGGTTAAGTTAGGTCTAAAGATCTATTCTTGATACAAGGACATTAAAAAGACATGACAATGAAAGGCAATGCATGATTCTGAACTTGATCCTTTTGCTATGAAACATTATTGGGACTATTGGTGAATTTTTTTTTTTTTTTGAGACGGGGTCTCCGTCTGTCGCCCAGCCTGGAGTGCAGTGGCGCGGTCTGGGCTCACTGCAAGCCTGGCCTCCTGGGTTCACGCCATTCTCCTGCCTCAGCCTCCCGAGTAGCTGGGACTACAGGCACCCACCACCACGCCCGGCTAATTTTTTCCTTTTTTTTTTTTGTATTTTTAGTAGAGACGGGGTTTCACCGTGTTAGCCAGGATGGTCTTGATCGCCTGACCTCGTGACCCATCCGCCTCGGCCTCCCAAAGTGCTGGGATTACAGGCGTGAGCCACCGTGCCCGGCTGACTATTGGTGAAATTTTAATGCGGACTTGATAATTAGATGTAGCAATATATTAATATTAATTTTCTGGTTTTGTTCGTTGTACTGTGCACGTATTGCATTTGGGGGGGCACATATATTACTGTAATAGATTTGTAATATATAGAATTATATATATGTATATACATATATAGACACAATTGTGTTTGTAGAAAATATATATGAAAGCAAGGTTTTTCAACTTTGGCACTATCGCTTCTGACATTTGGGCCACATAATTCTTTGTTGGGGGCATTTCCTGTGAATTGCAGGATGTTTAGCGACTTGGTTTGCCTTTAATAACTAAATGACAGTAGCATCCTCCTCACACCTTTCCCCAGGCTAACAACTAAAAATATCTTGAGATATTATCAGATGTTTCCTGGAGGGCAAAACTCCCCCTGGTTGAGAATCAGTCTACTAAAGTATTTGGAGATGACAGAGCATCAGGTTCGTTTCTATATATTATTAAAGTATCTTTCAAAGTTGAAGGTAAAATTAAGACATTTTCGGAAAAATTAAATGGGCCAATTTGTCACCAGCAAATCTGTACTACAAAACATGCTAGCAGAAGTTTTTTGGCCTGAAGGGAAATAACATCGAATCTAAACTCCAGATTAGAGGAAATGAAAAGCATAGAAATGGTAAGTATATGAGTAACAGGAAATACTTTTTTTTAATCTGTCGATTTTGTTGAAGGGAAACTGACTATTTAAATTTAAAAAGATATCATTTTATTGTGGGGTTTATGATGTGGATAGAAAAACTTATACTAAAAAAAATCACAAAAGACAGAGGGGGAATAAAGGAAATGTTACCGTCATCAGTTTTTGTTGTTGTTGTTTTGGGTTTTTTTAATAGACTTTATTTTTAGGGCAGTTGTAAGTTCACAGCAAAATTGAAAGAAAGATACAAAGATTTCTCATACATCATTGTGTCCACACAGGCACAGCCTGACCCCTTGCTGTCATTCTCCTCTGGAGTGGCACATTACTTACCGCTGATGAACCTGCACTGGCACATCCTTATCACCAAGGTCCATAGTTATATTAGGGTCCACGCTTGCTGTCATACATTCTATGAGTTTAGGCAAATTCATATACCAGTATAGTATCATGCAGAATAGTTTTCTGCCCTGAAAGTCTTCTGTGCATATGAATAGGATAGGTGGAGCACAGATCACTTTTTAGGAAAATGTTGCCTTGTTTTGATTTGACAAAGTAGGCAACACTATCAATCACTGGAGAGAATGTAAAAATAGAACAGATGTCATCAGTTTTTTACATTATATATGAAGTTGTCAAAAATTACCTCGAAGTAAAATTTAGATTAGTTAAGTATAAATTGATGATTATTGTAATACAAATAACTCAATACAAAAAAGCGTTGCAACTAACTCATCTATGCAATTTAAAATGAATACTTAAAATACAATTAAACAAAAATACGAGAAGAGAAACAAGAGATTGTACAGTTTTTAAAAGTGGCAACACATTTCATTTAACATATTTATGAACTAAATTATTCAATTACAAGGTAGAGACTGTCATATTAGACAAAAGAATGAGACCCAACTAATGTTGTCTACCAGAAACATATATTAAACATAAAGACACAGATAGATGAAAAGTAAACCTACAAGAAAAGATAAACCATATACACAGCAAGCATTAGGAAGCTTGTGTGGCTATATTAGCAAAATGCAATGTAGACTGGAAAAGAGGGTGCATTATAAGAGAAAATGGGGGCATTTCATAATTATGAAATAACCAATTCATCGGAGGACAATAATATAAGCAATATTATTGTCCTCCGATGAATTGGTTATTATATTATTGTCCTAATATGACATATATGTCCATAATTATGAAATGCCCCCATTTCATAATTATGAAAGGGACACCAACTTAATAATAAAGCCTCATAATTCATGAAGGAAAAAGCAGAATTGAAGGGAGAAATGGATAAATGACAATAATAATTAAAGATTTTAACATCCCTCTGTTCATCACTGATTGAACAGTAAGACAAACCATTCGTATGGCTATAGAACATTTCAACTTCATTATAAATCACCTTGATCTTATTGACATTTATAAAAACTACATTTCAAATGCTGAATATACGTTGTTTTCTTGTGTATTGAAAGCACCACCAACATAGGCCAAATGCTGAATCAAAGAGTAAGTTTAAATGAATTTAAGCTTTAGATTTTATAGAATATATTCTCTGATCACAATAAAATTTAATTTGAAATCGATGACATAAGAGATTCCTAGGAAACCCCCAAATAGTTGTAAATAACATGAAACACTATTTAACTCATAGTTCATAAAAGAAATCAAAAGATAATTTAGAAAAAATATGAAATAAGGAAAACAGTATATTAAATAAACATCTGCACCTAGATGTTTATTGCAGCACTATTCACAATAGGCAAGATATGGAATCAACCTAAGGGTCCAGCAACAGATGATGGTTAAAGAAAATGTGGTATATAGGCCGGGCACGGTGGCTCACGCCTGCAATCCCAGCACTTTGGAAGGCCAAGATGGGTGGATCACTGGAGGTCAGGAGTTCGAGACTAGCCTGGCCACCATGGTGAAACCCCATCTCTACTACAAATATAAAAATTAGCTGGGCATGGTGGCACGTCCCCAGCTACTCGGGAGGCTGAGGTGGAAGATCACTTGAATCCGAGAGGCAGAGGTTACAGTGAGCCAAGATCACACCATTGCACTCCAGAGCAAGACTCCATCTCAAGAAGGGAAAGGAAGGAGAGGGGAGGGGAGAGGAGGGGAAGGGAGGGGACAGGAGGGGAAAAGGAATAGATACACAATGAAGTACTATTCGGCCATAAAAGCAACGTGCATAGAAATGGAGTGTATTATGTGAGTGAAATGAGCCAAGAAGAGAAAGTTAAACATTACAGCTTCTCACTCATATGTGGAAGCTAAAATATTTTGATCTTATAGAAGTTAAAACAGAGGATGCTAGAGGCTGGAAAGTATAAGAGGGAGGGAGGGATAGGGAGAGATTTGTTAAAAGATTCAAAATTAAAGCTAGATAGGAGGAATAAGTTCTAATGCTCTATACCATTATGGTATGACAATAGTTAACAATAATATATAGCTTCAAATAGTTAGGAAAGGATATTGAATGTTCCCAAAACAAAGAAATGATAAATGTTTGCAATGATGGATATGCTAATTACCATCACCTCATCAGGGTAATTAAATATATACACTATGAGTACTGAAACATCACTATGTACCCATAAATATGCACAATTATTATGTGCCAATTAAAAAAATAAAATAAAACAAAATTATGATAATAAAAGCTTCATATTTGTGGTGTAGAGTTAAATTGAGAGGGTAATTTATTATTTGAAATTCTTCTATTAGAAAAATACATAGGTTTAAAAGTCAATGAAAAAATAAACAAATAAAACGTAATTTGAAAAAATAAAATAACAGGTAATGAAAGAAATAAATGAAATTGAAAGTAAATAAATTCACAAAGTGAAAAGTTCCTTTGAAAAAATCAGTAAAGTTGTTACATACTAGTAAGACTAAGAAAAAAGGACTGATAAAAGAAGAAATATCATTACAGAACCTCTATATTTAAATGATAATAACTATTATGAACAATTCCATACTCAAGAATTTGGCAGCTTAAAGTTCTTTAAAGAGACAAATTACCAAAGCTTATTTAAGAACAAATTCATAATGTGAATTTTTCTGTATCTATATGTATCCATATAGTCTAGGTTTTCTAATTTCTGGCCTATGGTTGCTCATAGTAGCCTCTAATGATCCTTACAATTTCAACAAAGAAATTCAGAAGAAATTGAAAAATTTATTGAAGCAGATAAAAACGGCAACACAACATACCAAAACCTATGGGATACAGCAAACAGCAGTAGTAAGAGGGAAATTTATACCTATAATTTCCAAGATCAAAAAAGTGAAAAACCTCAAATAAATAACCTGATGATACATCTTTTTTTAAGGTCACTATAAATTTTAATCTATGATATAAAATATTACCTACAGATATAATTGAACATCAGGTATCAGAAAATAAAACATAACAATGAAATGCAATTTTGTAAATACTTCTATGGTACAAGCATTATTTTCCTCAGATTCAACCTTTTAATTGTGTTTTGTTTGCTTTCTGAAAATCACACTTTATAAAGAACACAAGTAGAGCTTGTTAAAATGATTGTCACAGATGTACTGTTTACTAATTCAAAAAATACTACATTCATTCGCTCATATCAATTTTATTCATTAATTATGAAGAAGAAAATATAATATTCCATGCTTGTCATGAAATAGCGGTTTCTTCTTCCAGTCTAATCAGGGAACTAATAAATGCTTAGTTCATGGCAAAACTTCCATTTGATTTACATTGACTTAATTACCTCTTAGGGTCTAGCCTCATCAATGGAGAAAAAGCACTTTTTCTTGAGGCAACAGCACATTAACAGCACTGAATACAAAATATGGCAAATTCAATGGCTGTCAGCATTGCTTTAGGAATTTTGAGACTATAAAAAAACTATAACCATGAATAAAAGAAAAGGGCTTATTAATATCTTCTTTTTGGGAGAGTGATACATTCTGAAGGTTTCTTGTTATTCTGTTGAATAGCAAGGACTTCCAAACTTAAGTGTCTTAAGGCTGAAAATTAGTTACATTCCTCAGATTTTAGCCTTATTAATGAAATTCCAAAAGTATTATAAGATTTAGTATGTCTTGAAATTATAAATTTGTAACAGATATTTTTCAAAATACATGCCTTCAAACAACTTAAATGCAAAAATCATTCATTCTTAATAATACCTAGCAGTTCATCCCTTGCTTCCCAGAAGTACTCATACAAACATGTGAATTTAAAAAATAGATTTTTCTGTTCAAAAAATAAAGCTTCTGCCCTTTTAAAAACTTGTCAGGCTTTCATTTGCCAAAATGTTGAAAACTGCACATATTCAAACATAGTTCCCGTAGGAACACATATTCCTCAACTCTCACACCTTTGAAGACACAGGAGACGGGCAATATAAATGTTCCCTTCTTTCCAGCTGATGTTAAATAGTTAGGTTTGCTTCATGAGATTATCGGAATAAAGGGTTAAATTTTCATTTTCCATTACTCTATCTAGTAAAATTAGACTTAAAGTAGGTAGAATACTACCAGAGGAATTACACAGTGATTGGCAAACTGGCCTAAAATAATCAGGCTTTTTATTTATACTTCCCTTTTTAAAGTTGTCATTTGACAACAGCTTCCATCTTTAACAGCAGGCAAAAGAAAATGAGGTGCCATGCTATATTAATTAAAATATTCCACAATGAAAGAAAATACAAAACCTGAAAATAACTTCAGTGCTATAGACATTTAAAAAGTTACAATGGTTAAAACTCTGAATAAAAAGATCTTGAGAACAGGTACATTTCAAAGCAATATTTTACACGCTTTGGAAAAAATAGCTATTTTTCAAATAACTTGATATATGGTTTACATATTTCATGCAGTCTCTGAGGTTTTTTTTCTCTACAATACTGTTTTGCATTAAAGTCTCTCATGTTGTTTACCAGTAATTGTTTCCTTAGGCTGAAATAAAACTTTGCTTGTTCATTAGTTTTCTGTATATCCCATTTGGTTTTGAAAGCAGCTCTTCGTGTTTTCCATATTCAGTAATTTTTCCTTGGTCAAGAACAGCAACCATATTAGCATTCTTAATGGTGGAGAGATGATGGGCAATAACTAACGCTGTTCTTCCATCCATCAGTGGATCTAGAGCTTCTTGAACAAGGTACTCATTTTCAGCATCCAGCGCACTGGTTGCTTCATCTAGGAGAAGAATTTTGGGATTCTTCAGCAGAGCACGGGCAATTGCAATCCGCTGTTTCTGCCCACCTGAGAGGAGAACACCCTTTTCTCCAACCACAGTGTTGAACCCTTGGGGGAAATTCCGGATCAAGACCACTGCATTGGCCACTTCAGCCACTCTCTGGACTTGCTCAGCGGTCACAGAGGAAGGCCATCAGCACCATAAGCAATGTTCTCAGTGATAGAGCAAGAAAACAAAATGGGTTTCCTGTCTCACTGTCCCAATCTTGGATCTCAGCCACACTGGGTTTAGCTGACGGATGTCATGGCCATCAAGACTGATAGTTCCAGAAGCAGGGTCGAACAACCTCAGCAGGAGCGAAAGCACTGTTGATTTGCCAGAACCACCTGGGCCAACCAGTGCCGTGACAGATCCTGACGGAATGGAAAGGCTGAAATCCTGAAATATGGGCGCCTCTGGGCAAGCGGGATCGGCAAAATGCACGTTCTTAAACTCCAAAGCACCCTGGAAGCTTTTCTCATTTAAGATAACCCTTCCCCCTCCTTAAAAGGCAGATTGGGCTCTCTCTCCAGGAGCTCCCAGAGGCGCCCCCCGGCACCCAGTCCTTTCATCAGCTCCGAGTAGAAAAAGCTCAGACCTCCAATGCTTATTCCAACCCCGAAAGCATACATAGGAAGGAAGAGAGTTCACCCATGGTCATGTGGGCACTGCCCATCAGCAGCCCCCCTTTGTACAGGACAGAAAGCACAATCAGGTTTCCGGACAGCCTAGTTCTCCAAAGAAGCCAGCCTGAGCGAATGCCGCTTTCCTTGCTGACTACATCACATGGTCCACTTTGCTGGCCTATTTTTCTATTTCAGTCATTTCTTTCCCAAAAGCTCGAACAGTTCTTAACATTTCCAATACGTTCCTCCTGAGTGGCTTGTGCCAGCGAATCCTGGGTGACTTTGGTCAGTTTCCGTAGATATCGTCCATAAATTACATCAATGATTGACACTAGAGGCACCACACTCACAACAAAGGTGGCCCGATTAGGTGAGACACAAAACATCGTCCTGATGCCTACAGAAGCCCGGGCCCCGGCCCTGAGCCCATCTGAGAGGTTTTCAGTCACTGAGCGCCCCAGGAGTGCAGTGTCCGATGAGAGGCGGTTAATCAATTCCCCTGTGCCAGCCTTGTCAGAGAAAGCAACCTCCTGCCCCAGAATGGAGGAGAATAACGAAGTTCTCAGCCTCTTCACAACGCGCTGACGTGAAGTTTGCATGAGGTAGACACGAATGGCATTGGCGGCAGCACCACACAGAAACACGCCACTGAGGCCAAGGCAGAGGCGGGTCAGGTTGTCGCTGTAGTCCACAGTGGGGTTGGTATAGATGGCATCGATGATCTTCCCCAGGAAGAAAGGGGCAGACATGGAGATAACACCGGACATCGGAGAAATCCAACCGCAGCTGCCAGCCTCTGGCGCTCAGGGAACTCCAGCCCCAGGAGCTTCCCGGCCTCCGAGAGTCCGGGCGCCATGGGTCGTAGCCGCTGGTCGTCCCGGGAAGGCGCCGCCCGCCCGCTCCGCCAGGCCTCCTCCCCTGCCCAGGCAGTGGCGGTGGGACCGCCCGGGAACCCGGCGCGCGGGAGCCGAGGAGCGCCCGGCCGGCAAGAGCCCCGCACCTGCAGCTGCCGGGCCCAAGCCCACAGCCCCGGGAGCCGTCCGAGGCCCGCGTGGCCCCCCGAGCCGCCCAGACCCCCGCCCCGGCAGCAGCTCCTCCAGCGGCGCGCGGCTCCAACGCCCCAGAGCAGCGCCGGCCCCGCGCCCCATAGCCGCGCCAGCCTCGGGGCAGTGAAGGGCGATATGGACTGGGGGCGCGGCTGGCCGGGGCCCACACACAGGCTACCGGCAGGAGCCGCCCTGGCTCTGCGGGGCCCGTGGCGCCGATACATCTTAAAAGAACTAGAAAAGCAAGAATAAACCAGACCCAAAATAAGTATAGAAGAAAGGAAAGAATAAAGATAAGAGCAAAAATTAATGAAATTGAAATGAAAAAATACAAAATATGAACAAAACGAAAAGTTCGTTTTTTAAAAAAGATAAACCAAACCAGTAACCTTTAGCCACACTAAAAAAAAAACAAAAAACCCTAAATAAATAAAATCAAGATGAAAACGGGGACATTTTCATTGATACTGTAGAAATTCTAAGGATCATTAGAGGCTAGTATGAGCAACTATAGACCAATAAATTAGAAAATCTAGAATAAATGGATACTTTCCTAGATACATACAACCTAGCAAGAATGAACCACAAAGAAATCCAAAACCTGAAAAGACCAATAAGTAGTGAGACGGAAACAATTTTCCCAGGAAAAGCCGGGTGCAGTGGCTCACGCGTGTAATCCCAGCACTTTGGGAAGCCGAGGCGGGCGGATCACGAGGTCAGGAGATGGAGACCATCCTGGCTAACACGGTCAAACCCCGTCTCTACTAAAAAAAATACAAAAAAAAAAAAAAAATTAGCTGGGCATGGTGGCGGGTGCCTCTAGTCCCAGCTACTCAGGAGGCTGAGGTAGGAGAATGGCGTGAACCTGAGGGGCGGAGCCTGCAGTGAGTCGAGATCAGGCCACTGCACTCCAGCCTGGGCGACAGAGCGAGACGCCCTCTCAAAAAATAAAAAAAAGTTTCCCGGGAAAGAAAAGCCCAAGACCCGACGGCTTTACTCCTGAATTTTACCAAATATTTTTAAAAGTAGCACAAAATGCAGCAGCAGGATTCTCCTGCCCCAGCCTCCTAAGTAGCTGGGGCTACAGGTATGCACCACCACGCCTGACTAATTTAAAACTGTTTTTGTAGAGACAAGATCTCACTATGTTGCCCAGGCTGGTCTCAAACTCCTAGGTAAAATGATCCTCCCACCTCTGCCTCCCAAAGTGTTAAAATTGCAGGCATAAGCCAATTTTTTTTTTTTTTTTTTTTTAGTAGAGACGGGTTTGACCGTGTTAGGCAGGATGGCCTCGATCTCCTGACCTTGTGATTTTCAAAGCTGTTCGAGGGCATTTATCAGGCTTTTAACTCTAGGTACTCTTTCCCACAGTGTGAAGGCCAAGAGAAGGGATCCTGGGCTCTCTTCCCTGGCCCCAGGATGGGAATTCAGGGGGAAAAGGTCACCTATTCTCCTATTCTTATCCCACAAAAGAAAACTTATGCATCAGTTGTCAAGCTAAGGAGCTTCAGAGTCCACAAATAGGGAAATTGCTAAGAGCTTATCAGTAGTGTCCACTACCCATCCCCACCTGGGGTCACGTGGAGAATGATGGTGGGGGCGACGATCTTGTCCTACTTCAGGTGAAAAGCAGGGGTGTGGGGGGGTTTCATTGTGAAGGGCTCCTTTGTTAAAATTCCTTCCAATTCCAGGAAAAACATGCACTCGAAAGCCATTATCTCTTTTACTTCTTACTAGGGAACTTCCAGGAAAGAGACGGGGGGGGGGTGGGGGGTGGGGGGTGGGGAAGAAGAGGGCAAAACAGCTGCAGTGAATGTAGTCACCTCTCCGATTGCTTTTCTTGTTGCAGAATATTTCACATGCCAGGATTTTCCTTCTTGTCCTCCGGACTGTTGATACACCCAACATCTTAATACGCTTTCAATCACAAGTTAAAGACATCCAGAGCCAGATTGCTTGAGCCTAGGAGTTCCAGACCGGCCTGGACAACATGGTGAAACCCAGTCATATATATTTTTTTTTAGGGGGAAATTTGCTCTTGCTGTCCAGGCTGGAGTGCAGTGGCGAGGTCTCAGCTTGCCAGACCTCCGTCTCCGGGGTTTGGGTGGTTCTCCTGCCAAAGCCTCCCGAGTGGCTGGGATTGCGGTGTGAGCCACCATGCCCGACTAATTCCTTAACTGTGCAACTACAAGGTCACTAAACAAATAAACTCAAGTCACAAAACATATTTTTCCTTAAATAGTAAAAAATAATATAATGCATGTTTCAATTAAATAACAATCTTTGTTTCTCGCTTCTATAATATACTTCTCCCTGCACAGATCTCCCCCTTCGCCCCACATAATGCTTGAAAGGTAACTCTTGGTTCAGTGCTCAATCCTTTAAATGTTAATCCGACTGGGCCGGTGCACCTAAATAATTAATAAATGTCCTCCTAAACCCCATGAGTCTATCTAATTCCTTAAAAATCCCTCTACAGGACTGCAGGTGTGAGCCACTGCACCCCGCCTAATTTATTAATCAGAGAGGAATAGATCGGCCTGGCGTGGTGGCTCACGCTTGTGATCCAGGGACTTTGGATGATGGAGCACTGGGGATCACTTGAGCCTAGGAGATCCAGACTGGCCTGGGCAACATGGTGGAACTCGGTCTCTCTCTTTTTTTTGTTTTTTTGGAGGCAGAGTTTTGCTCTTGTTGCCCAGGCTGGAGTGCAGTGGTGCAGTCTCGGCTCCCTGCCACCTCCACCTCTTGGGTTTGGGTGGTTCTCCTGCCTCAGCCTCCCTAGTGGCTGAGATTGCAGGTGTGAGCCACCATGCCCGGCTAATTTTCTTTTTTTTTTTCTTTTGGTACACACAGGGTTTCTCCCTGTTGGTCAGGCTGGTCTCAAACTCAGGACCTCAGGTTATCCGCCTGCCTTGGCTTCCGGGGATGCTGGGATTGCAGGCGTGAGCCAGCGCGCAAGGCCCAATTGATTAATCAGAAAAAAATAAATCAGCCTGGCGTGGTGGTTCACGCTTGTGATCCCAGGACGTCGGACGGCCGAGCGCTGGGGATCACTTGAGCCTAGGAGTTCCACACCGGCTTGGGCAACATGGTGAAACCCGGTCTCTCTTTTTTTTGGCGGGGGGGGTACAGGCAGGGTTTCTCCATATTCATCAGGCTGGTCTCAAACTCCCGACCTCAGGTTATCTGCCCACCTCCTCGGCCTCTGGGGATGCTGGGATTGCAGGCGTGAGCCAGCGCGCCCGGTCCAGTTTATTAATCATAAAGGACTAGATCGGCCTGGCATGGTGGCTCACGCTTGTGATCCCAGGAATTTGGACGGCAAGCGCGGCGGATCACTTGAGCCTAGGAGTTCCAGACCTGCCTGGGTAACATGGTGAAACCTGGTCACTTTTTGTTTGTTTTGAGGCGGAGATTCGCTCTTGTTGCCCAGCCTGGAGTGCAGTGGTGAGGTCTTGGCTCAACGGGCCTCCGCCTCCAGGGTTTGGGTGGTTCTCCTGCCACAGCCTCCCGAGTGGCTGGGATTGCACGCGTGAGCCACCATGCCCAGCTCATTTTGTTTTTTGTTTGTTTTTGTTTTTATTGTTGGAGATGGGGTTTCTCCATGTTCATAAGGCTGGTCTCAAACTTCCCACCTCAGGTTATCCGCCCGCCTCGGCGTCCGGAGGTGCTGGGATTGCAAGCGTGAGCCAGCGCGCAAGGCCTAATCTATAAATCAGAAAGGAATAGGGCCGGGGATCCCTTGAGCCTAGGAATTCCAGACAGGCCGGGGCAACACGGTGAAACCCGCTCTCTCTTTTTTTTTTTTTTTTTTTTTTTTTTTTTTGCGGCAGTTTCACTCTTGTTGCCCGGTTGGAGTGCAGTGGCGCGGTCTCAGCTCCCCGCAGCCTCCGCTTCCCGGATTTGGGTGGTTCTCCTGCCTCAGCTTACCAAGTAGCTGAGATTGCAGGCATGAGCCAACATGCCCAGCTCTTTTTGTATTTTTTTTTTTTTTTTTTTTTTTGGTATAGACGGGGTTTCTCCCTTCGTCAGGGTAGTCTCAAACTCCTGACCTCAGATTACCCGTCTGCTTCGACCTCCCGGGGTGGTGGGATTGCAGGCGTGAGCCACCATGCCCAGCTTATTTTTTTTTCTTTTTTGGTAGAGACGGGTTTCTCCATGTTGGTCAGGCTGGTCTCAAACTCCCGACCTCAGGTGATCCGCCCGCCTCGGCCTCCCAGGGTGGTGGGGTTGCAGGAGGGAGCCACCGCGCCGGGCGCAATTTATTAATGAGAAAGGAACAGATGGGCCTGGCGTGGCGGCTCATGCTTGTGATCCCAGGACTTCCGATGGCCGAGCGCTGCGGATCGCTTGAGCCTAGGAGTTACACGCCGGCCTGGGCAACATGGTGAAACTCAGTCTCTCTCTCTCTCTCTCTTTTTTTTTTTTTGAGAGGGAGTTTCACTCTTGTTGCCCAGGCTGGAGTGCAGTGGCAGGGTCTCAGCTCCCCGCAGCCTCAGCCTCCCGGGTTTGGGTGGTTCTCCTGGCTCAGCCTCCCGAGTGGCTGGGATTGCAAGCGTGAGCCACCATGCCCTGCTAATTTTTTTTTTTTTTTTTTTTTTTTTTTGGTAGAGATGGGGTTTCTCCATGTTACTCAGGCTGGCCTCAATCTGACCTCAGGTTATCCGCCCGCCTCAGCCTCCCGGGGTGCTGGGATCGCAGGCGTGAACCACCGCAACCGGCCCAATTTTTAATCAGACAGGAATAGATCGGCCTGGCGTCATGGCTCACGCTTGTGATCCTAGGATTTTGGACGGCTGAGTGTGGCAAATCGCTTGAGCCTAGGAGATCCAGACCCGCTTGGGCAACATGGTGAAACCTGTTTTTTTTTTTTCTGAGACGGAGTTTCCCTCTTGTTGCCCAGGCTGGAGTGCAGTGGCGCGGTCTCGGCTCGCCGGGCCTCCGCCTCCCGGGTTTGGGTGATTCTCCTGCTTCAGCCTCCTGAGTGGCTGGGATCAAGGGCGTGAGCCACCAAGCCTGGCTACTTTTATTTATTTATTTATTTATTTATTTATTTATTTATTTAGGTTGAGATGGGGTTTCTCCATGTTGGTCGGGCTGGTCTCCTGCTCCTCACCTGGGGAGATCCGCCGGCCTCGGCCTCCAGGGGTGGTGCGATTGCAGGCGTGAGTCACTGTGCCTGGCCGGAAACCCAGTCCCTTAACGGAAAAACAAAACAAAAACCACAAAGATTAGCCAGACCTGGTGGGCCCCCCTGGGTACTCCCAGCTACCCTGAAGGCTGATGCAGGAGGATTGCTTGAGCCCGGGGTGGAGGTGGCAGTGAGCCATGATGGCGCTGCTGCAGTCCAGACTGGGTGATAGAGCAGGACTGTGTCTCAGGAAAAGGGAAAGGAAAAAAAGAATAATAAAGAAAAAGAAGTATATAAAATTGCTAAATCCAGGAACAGCTTCACAGTATATTGAGAGAAATAGAGGCAAAGGTTAGCAGACACCAATGTTCACTTAGTGGAACTGCAGTTGTCCCCAGACAGGAGGCTGCTACTTTTACAAAAGAAATCTATTATTGACAAAAAAAAAAAAAGGTGGTTTGTTACAATACACAAATAGCTAAACTTTATATAGCCACGACCCTCTTCTAGCACTGCTCTAAGCCTTTTCCTGCTCTGGAATAGCTACTATTGTTACCTCCATTGTAGAGAAAACAGATGGGGGAGGTTGTTGTGGAAGGACCAGGGAAACTGACTATGAAATTGACTTGTAAGTTGAGGACTTAAAGGTTCTTCCTGCTTTGCTCCTTACATTGCCACATTTTAGTTAACATACCTCTTAAAATACTGGTCCTTTCTGTATTTGGAGGGACTCCTCTTGCAGTTTGAAGTTTTTTCTTACACTAAGCATCTGGTTAGAAGATCATCTCCATTTTATGTCAGTTTAAGTTTAGACATTGTTCAGTAAGGAATGTAAATATGAGCAAACAGTTATCTGATTGAAATAGATAAACTAGAAAAAAAGTCACCTATGAGAAAGTCAACAAAATGTCAACTCTGGATTTGTGGCTATTTTCAGAATATTAATTTTTTGATATTTAATGGCATTGTGAATATATTTATTTTTAAGAATTCCTTGTCTTCTACAGATACATATAAGGTAATTAAAAATGATAGGATGTATAGGTTTTACTTCAAAATCATTCAGAGGAAGAAGGAATGTATATAAATGAAGTGGGAATATAAATGAAACAAAACTGGCTGTGGCCAGGTGTGGTGGCTCACGCCTGTAGTCTCAGCACTTTGGGAGACCGAGGCAGGTGGATCACCTGAGGTCAGGAGTTCAAGACCAGCCTGGCCAACGTGGTGAAACACCATCTCTACTAAAAATACAACAATTAGCCGGATGTGGTGCCGGGTGCCTGTAATCCCAGCTACTCGGGAAGCTGAGGCAGGAGAATCGCTTGAACCTGGGAGGTGGAAGTTGCAGTGAGCCAAGATCATGCCACTGCACTCCAGCCTGGGCAACCACAGCAAAATCCCACCTTTAAAAACAAACAAACAAACAAAAAACAACCAAAAAAAAAAAAAAACTGTCCATACCATGAATGAAAAATTGTTGATGATGTGTATATGTAGGGCAATTATATCATTTATTATATATAATATATATATTATTTTTCTCAACTTTTTTTTACATCTGAAACTTTCTATTGAACACATGGACATGTCCCTTGATAACTGGGGCTGCTTCCCCATTATTCTCTCAGCAGCCCTTCTGATTTTCACTCCATCTTCATTCTTAGAGATTCTGGATTTTATTTTTTTTTGGGGGAAGTTCAAGTATGTCTTTGCAAGGATTATCCAGCATGTCTACCTACTCAATCATATTATCAGAAACAGAAAAAGTGTCCAGATTCTTGTCTTGTCCTGTTCAGATTTTTTAAATTCCAAGAACAGTCACCTTCTACCAGACACTCTGATGTTGGAAGACAAAGCATATTTGGTAAGTGGCATGATTTCTGGGCTCCGATTTAGAACAGTCACAGCTTTCAACAATCCAAAAATAGCTGACTGTGACTCACCATATTTAGAAAGATGGAGATTATTAAAAAAAGAAAACCTTAATTTATTATGTGACCGCTAAGTGTCTCGGCTGAAAATTGTAAAGATAGAAAGGTAAATCAAAAGATACAGAGACTGTAATCATGCAGTTAATAAAGCGCTAAATCAAAATGTATTTGGCATATGTGAAAGAGTTTAATTTTATCCCATTTTCTACTGGCACTATAGGTATTTGTAAGTACATATAAAACTACAGTGTTACATATAAACTACCAAAAAGGAACTTAAGAAACGAGACTAATCTAGCAACTTTATTTAAAAGTTTATCTTAAGGGAATAATTAAGGATGTCCATACAAAAGGATTTAGCCATGACACGAGAATGTTCTTCCTGGCAAATCAATGGAAATTATTAAATGTGCAAAAGGGAACTGTTGGAATAAATTCTAATGCCTTCATATGATCGTATGTCGTAACCTTTTAAAATGATATTAAAGAGTTGCATACATTGACTTAAACAGATATTCATAACACATCACTGAATAGGAGAAATACGGGCCAGCAAAGAACATAGAGTTGGTCCAATTTCTACAAAAAAAAGTAGACTAATAGCATGACAGCAGGGAAGGGGGAATATGTCAATGTATGTGTGTATATATATGTATGCATAGCAAGTATGAACTTGAAAGGATATATATCAAATTGTTTACACAGATTACCTCAGAGAGGTAAATAACTGGCCTTTGGTGTTCTGTGTTCCATAGATTCTGAATTTTCTTTTTTTATTTAAATAGAGATGGGATCTTAGCCAGGAGCAGTGGCTCACACCTGTAATCCCAGCACTTTGGGAGGCTGAGGAGGGCGGATTGCTTAAGGCCAGGAGTTCAAGACCAATCTGGCCAACATGGCAAAACTCTGTCTCTACTAAAAATCCAAAAATTAGCCAGGCGCAGTGGCTTATGCCTATAACCCCAGGTACTCGGGAGGCTGAGGCATAAGAATTGCTTGAACCAGGAGGCGGAGGTTGCAGTGAGCAGAGATTGCACCACTGCACTCCAGCTTAGGCAACAGACCGAGACTCTGTCAAAAAATAAAAACAAAACAAAACACCACCACCAACAACAAAACAGTAATAAAGAGAAAATCTTATGGACAGGAGCAATGTCTCATGCCTGTAACCCCAGTGCTTTGGGAGGCCAAGATGGGAGAATCGCTTGAGCCCAGGAGTTCAAGACCAGCATGGGCAACATAGCAAGACCTTTTCTCTACAAAAAATTTAAAAATTAGCCAGGCATAGTAGTGCATGCTTATACTCCCAGCTACCTGGGAGGCTGAGGTGGGAGGATCACTTGAGCATGAGAGTTGGAGGTTGCAGTGAACTGTGATCACACCACTGGGAAGCCATGACCCCATCCCTGCCTTCTTCCTCTGTCCTATGCTAGCAATAAGTAAGTTTCCCAGCCACAAATAATTATTAGAACCTCCTCCCCATGTGCCACCTCCAACCACCGCTAGGTATGATACAGGGGTGGCCCTACCCTCTGGAATATACAAAACCTTACACAGACACAATATATACACCGGGGAAGGGGGGCCACCCCAGCAGCCCATGCCTTCGCCTGGTCCACAGTTAGCCCCACTGTCCTGCCTCAGCTACCTCTCTGAATAAGAAGATTGGAGCCCCCACTGAGGGAAAAGTTGCTATGGTGAGAGTAAGGAGGCCATGAGGCCTCCTCCAAACAAACCAACTCCACCAGCCTCTGGCTCTTAAATAACAATATCATCCAGAAATTTAAGGACTCAGCTCTGGTCAAGGTGGCAAAGGGTCTGTTTGTCTTTCCTCGTTAGACAGTGGTCTTGTCTTGCTACCCTAATTGTAAAGGGGTGACTGGGAAGGGGAGATAGGGACAGTGTGGTGGTGGAGAGACCCCAGCCCCACTTCTCCAGGCTTTGCTGACAGGGGCCTGCTTTTAATTTTTATTTTTATTTTTATCCCATGCCTTTTTTTTTAAATCCCATAACTTCTTTTTCATAACTTTTTTTGGTAACTTTTCATAAAACTTTCTTCTACTTTTTGGTCACAAGATTTTTTTGCCACAACTTTTTTACATTTTTTATCCCATAACTTTTTCACCCCATAACTTTTGTTAATCCCATAACTTTTTTATTTTGTGTTCTTTTAATAAACCCTTGCATAGTTATATTACAATTTTGTAAAAATGAAACATTATCTCATGCCAAGCATGCTCAGCATTTGCACAGTATCAATACCTTTAATACTATATTTTTCAAGACACACAGAATAAAATTTTAAGGCAAAAACAGCACTTTGCAACAACTTAATAATTTATTACATTACAGTAGCATCACACCAGCAGTCAATAATGCCACTTTAGGCAAAAGTCTTTCAGTATTTCCGTTTTACATTCCGCTTACAAGAATTCATAAATTGGTAAAATTCATTCTAAGAAAACTTGGCAAATAAAGCTTTGGACTGGAATTGGCATTTCTTTCTCTACTTTTCCTTCCCACCATTTATTTCCTTTACAGTATTCATATTTTAAAATGTTTTAACTTATTTCAGAACATTAAGATAGCAGTTACATTGTTTAATAGTTATTTTAAAATGACTCTTTCAGATAAAGTTTTAGAGAAACTATAGTATGGATAGGGCTGATTTACATTTTCAAATTTTCTAAAAATCAGCTTTGGTTTTAGAGCTGATTTTTGTTCATTTCTGGAAAACCTATCAGATTTAATCCAATACTTTAAAAATGATTATTATATATTGCACTCTTTAAATCGGTGATTTGATTCTTCCTACAGAAATTCAAATTTATTGAATTGAACTCACATTTTAGAATTCTGTTTCTGATGAACTCTAACCTTCCAATGTTGCCTTCTAAGCAAATTGAAAGCTGCCTTATACCGAATGAGGAAGAATACCAATACTTGGCTGAATGAGGTATCGCAAAAGACTGCAATGCACTTTGAAGAAAGACTTAAGTTATAGTCATGCGATTTCCATTCTTTTTAGCTTTTTCTTAAATATACGACAAATATCTACACAAAGAGTGGTATTTCTGTTAATACAGTCAATTTATTTTCCAGATTGACATTCAGCTTAAATATGCCAGTATGTGATTTAATCCATAGGCACCTGATGAACACATTATTGTCAGATTGGTTACAGATGCTCGTAGTTGTCTTTAAACTGAACTCAAAGAATGCAAAAACATCAAGTTCAGAAAATAAAAGGCAAGGACAGGACTTTAAGTGCATTTTAAAGCCACGGGCTAGAAATCGTACCACTGTTAACTAGCCGCATTATTTGGTCTAACATTTTTTCTTTATCATTCTGAAACTGGGTTTATCTAATACATTGATACATTCATACAATTTGGAAGAGTCCGTTGAAGTCACAAGGACCCGATATTTGCACTCTTTCAGTGATTGCCGGCAAATCTGTTATTCCATCGGCAAAATCGTACTGCTGCTCTCCTGTTAATGTCGTATTTATAAAAGTATCATGAGGATGCCAACTGCTAAAAATGGAGATGGTCTAGTAACTAGAAATCCCCACCCCAGGGAGCACACATACATATCTCCCTACATCCTAATAATGTGATGTGTTTTGGAACACAGACATTAGAACTTCATGAAGTTTTAACTGTTGAGTCTTTCCCAAGCATCATCAAGTTATGATTTAGGCAATGTACAACTGAAATTCATTCATTCATCATGCATAGGCACAATCACATAAATACTGCACAAAATATGCCCGTAAGTGAAACCCAGAGGTACAGAAACACATTTCACTCTTCACAAAGAAGTTTGTGAGGAAATATAACTCTGTGATTGTATAGACATGTTTCCTGATAATACACTGACATTCACCAACAGTAGATTGCACTGCAGTTTGTACACATTTTAAGTTGCATAAACTTCTCCTTGATTTTCAAAGATAGTATAATACTGTCTACTAAAACTCCTTTTTGTTTCAACTAAGCACTCTCACATATATTAGTTTATAACAATGTTTATTATTATTTCAAAGTGTTTTCCATTCAAGGAAAAGAAGTCAATTCCTATGTCAAAGTAACCAAGGTGGTTGAAGAATAGGCAGAGTGGTCTAGATGGTAAAATCAATCTTCAAGCCTCAAAGAAGCTCCATGAACAGAGGAATGCCAGGTGTCACACAGCTTTCCTTCACTCTAATTCATTCTTGACTAGAGCCTGTATGCGTGTTCCAGGGACATTTAAACTCTTAAAGGATTTCTTCTGATCTTTACTAAATACATTAAGAAGAATGCCAACCAGTGCCCTTTTGTGTACTGGGACATGCAGTCATGTGATTAAAACAGGTAACATGAACTCTGACTTTAAAATATAGATACAAATGCTCTAAGCTAGGAAAGGTTTTCCACATCCATAGTCAATGATGGGAACCTTTCATTCCTCAGAAATAAGCCCTTTTTAGGTCATCAAAAAAGAGTACAACTGCTGCAGCTCATGATGCAATATCTTCATGAGCCCAGAGCACATACAAATCCTAAAGGAACTACAATAGTACAGCACTAATTCTTGGCAACAGAACAAATGAAACACACTCTATCTTGCACATACCTGCCAGAGCAGGCAACTTTCCTCTTCTGTGAAATTTAAAAAGCTCCCCCAAAATGTTATTACTCCCATCACCAATACACAGAAAATGAGGGAAAGGCTGTTTCCAGTTCTCGGCCTTTAAACAACTCTAAATGTCAGTACTCTTGGTGGCATATTACAAAGTATTAAATAGTGCAAACTTGGGGCAAACCACATATTGTGCTAATGAAGAGCTCACTGTGATTAAGATTAGATCAAACAATAGCAGAACATAGGCAAATTTTATCTGAATTCTGTAATGAATATACATGCTTCAATAACATTAAAAACACATGGCAGCCTATTCCAAACCAGCAAGAATAGTTTTGTGCAAATAGTGGGTCTTTGTGTGTTTGAACTCCCACCACGTAAGGGCAAACTCAATATGCATGCTAATGACCTACAATCATGAAATTGAAAAAGAAAATTGCGAAAGTATGCCAGAGTGAACATCAGTGAAAGCCACAGAGACCCACTCTCTTTTAACTATTTACAAATAAACTTAAACTATAAATTAGAAACACAAATAATCATAAGTGGCTATAACATTCAAACGAAGTAAATGAATTGTGTAGGAGATTAACCCCATAACTTTGTTTCTTTTTTAAAAATTTCTTGAGCAGCTCTTTGACGATGGTCATGTTTATCTCCTTCTTCTTGGCAGCCAAGCCCAGCAAAAGAATGGCACACAGCAGTTGCTGCCCAAGCCTGGGTGCTCCTGGTGGTCCTGCACGATCGGCTGTGCAGTAGGGTTGTCGTGGGGAGAACCCTCCCTGGCCTCTCCTTGCACAGGCTCCACGCTGTCAGTGAGGCTCACCTCACAAAGATCTTTGGAGAGAGGGAGGCGGGGATCTGAGCTCAGTGAGAGCCCCCCTGCTCCTGCCTGCCCACCCCGCCTGAGGGCTCTACTCACCACCATGCTTGTGGGCAGCCCCAAGCTCCTGGGGGGCTGGGGCTCCTGGACTGGGCTCATGAGCAGGGTTCTGGGCAGTCACCAAGAATTTGCTGTGTCCCTTGTAGTCGCCACCAGCTGCAACACCATCTCCTGCAGCTCCAGCAGCTTCACCTGGAGGGAGGGGTGCTCAGCTGTCACGCTGCTGCCAGCGCTCACCGTCACAGCCACCCCCACCCCCGCAGAGATGTTGCACACTCTACCTTCATCTCCTCCCTGTCCAGGGCCAGCCTGATGGTGTCCTCCTCCCGGTGCTGCATCTTTGGCACTGCCCCCTGGCTTTGTTATAGGGTGATAAACTTTCCTGCGGGAGGACAGGGCTCAGACGCTGGGGCCCCTCCAACAGCCCTGCAGCTCCCCCTGCCATGCCCTGGCCTCCCACTCACTGATGGCATCCCTCTCTGTAGTACTGGAAGAATCCAAGTTCTTCTTTCTCCACCAGCTCACTCAGGTCTGCCTTCTCCTCCAGGTGGTCCATAAAGCCGCTCTGGAGCCAAAATAATGGGGTCACATCTCGCCAGCGACCTGCCCTCAGGTGGCATTTTCAAGTCATGGAGAAGGCGGAGGTGAGTTCCGGCATGGGCCAGCTTCTCCATGACTTCCTGCAGGGCCCGGTGGGTCTCCCCACTCACAGACTCGCCCCCAGGCCCTGGGGCTGGGACCGCTGCCTCTGGCTCCTTCTGGGCCGAGGCCACCGGGTGAGCCAGGCGCTGGCAGCACACCCTCTGCTCTTTCACCTGCTCTTGTAACTGTGCCTGCTTCTCCTGGGCACTAGCTCCAGCGGACTTGAAAAATGCCACCTGAGGGCAAGATGTGAGCATTCTTCTAGGGGCATACACAGAAGAAATGGGGCAGAGAGGTGGAGCGCAGCCCCTTCCCTTGGGGCCCCAGAGACTGCACATGTTGGTCACAGGTGAAATGGTGTCTGACCACTGGCTCTCGGAAGGGGTGAGGGTCCAGAGAAATCAGAAGGCAGGGAAACGAAGAGCATAAAGGGGTCTTGGAGGGACCACAGAGAAAGGTGGCAAAATGGGTGCAGGGGGAGTCAGGCTCACCATGGCCTCCCTGCTCTCCAGGTCCTCTGGGACACTCGGCATGGGCCGAGGTGCCTCCTCCCCCTCACTGTCCAGATGTTCTCCTCCGTGTCCTGTGGGGGGTGGCCAGAGGGGTCTTCAGACAACTCAACAAGGGAAGTATTGTGGGCCCACCTCTGCCTCCACCCTCATTGTGTAACCCTGAGCCAGGCCCTCCCCAGAGAGGAATGAGCTGCTGTTATTTATTTTTACTTTGAAGAACCAAGATCTTGCTATACTGCCCAGGCACATTCCCACTACTGGTCGGTGCGGGAGTTCTGACCTGCTCCCTTTCTGACCTCGGCCAGTTCAGCCATCCTTAGGCAACTTGGTGGCCCCCCGCTCACAGGAGGTCACCATATTGATGCTGAACTTAGTGCAGGCACCCGGTTAGTATAATGACCAGCTGTTCTAAAGGTCTCTTCCAACTCCTCAATCCTATGCTGCTAGCAGTCCCCCCTTCCTCCTGGGGCTCTCTCCTCTTCCTCTGAGCGGTCTCCCGTACCTTCCCCAGGGAGAGCCATGAGGCTCAACTGGGCCGTTAGCTGCTGTTTCTGCTGGCTGGCAGCTTCCAGACGCTCCTAAGGGGCCAGGAAAGAGTGAGAAGGCACAGAGTTTGCCAGGTCGTCCCCCTCACGGCCCCATCCTCGGCAGCTCCCTCCCCTGGGCCTCCTGCAACTTTTGGCAGGCCATCTCGGCCACCGCTTTGCCCCAAGCTTCCTGCTGCTGCAGCTGGTTCATTAGCTGGGTCTGCTGCAGTCACTGCCTGTACAGCGCCTCCTTCTCACAGGTCAGCTGCTGATAGGCGGCCACCTGCTGCTGATAGGTGGCCACGTACTGCTGCAGGTGACCCAGGTAATGGTCTGGCTGCTGCTGCAGACTCTGAGCCTCTTGGCTCTTCAGCTCCACCTGCAGGAAGACCCTGGGTGTGAGGGCACGTGGTGGCTGGTTTCCAGATTCTGGGCCCATTAATAGGGTAGCGAGGGCACTGTGGGGCTCTGTCGCCTGCCCAGGCCCCTGGCCCCTTACTCCAGGCCTAAGTGACTGCCTCCCTTTCCTAGAACCCCATGCCTCCTTCCCCAGCCTCAAATCTCATGTCCTCTTCCCACCATTTCAACTGTAGGCCACAGAATGGTAGAAAAGTAGTGGGAGCCAACCACCATCTGCTAAATGTGCTACAGGCCTAATGCTTCCCATGTATTATCTCATTTAATCCTCAGCACCTCTGTAAGGAAAATGCTAACTTCCTTTTGAAGTTAAAGAAACAGAGACTTAGAGATGTGAAGTACTTGAATGGTGACCAGTGGAACTGAGGCTGGAATCCAGTTTTAATCTAAGGAGTCTTTTTGTTTTGTTTTGAGACAGAGTGTCACTCTGTGGCCCAGGCCGGAGTGCAGTGGTGCAATCTCAGCTCACTGCAACCTCCACCTCCTGGGCTCAAGCAATTCTCGTGCCTCAGCCTCCTGAGTAGGTGGGATTACAGGCATGCGCCACCACCATGCCCCACTAATTTTTCTTTCTTTTTTTGTTTTTTGTTTTTGTAATTTTAGTAGAGATGAGGTTTTACCATGTTGGCCAGGCTGATCTCAAACTCCAAACCTCAAGTGATTCTCCTGCCTCAGCCTCCCAAAGTGTTGGCACTATAGGCGTAAGCCACCGCGTCTGGCATAAGAAGACTGTTATACCACTCTGTCTCTTCCCCTGTGATTGGGGGTGCTCCATGTCTCTAGCTGGAATGATGATGTCCAGACCTGGGAGGAGCCCAGGGCTACCCACCTCTAAAATCAGAGGGCAGGAAGCAAGAAACAGCCACAGGACTGCCCTGGAGGGTGCTGGGGTCACCTGCCCCCGGGCTGGAGCTGCCTCTGGCCTGGCACCTCCCCTCCCCAGAGGCTGGTGCCCACCTCCCAGACCTTCTTGGATGGGGTGGAGGTTACCGTCTCCTTCACCTTGCCTAGCTTCTCCTGCAGCTCCTTTACTTGCTGCTCCAACTGTAGTACGCTCTTGTTCTCATTGTTCTGGACAGAGAGAAGCAATCAGCAGCCACCCACTGCAGCTGGAGACCCCAGAACTTGGTGACTGCCTCCCATGGCACCGGGAAGGGTGGAGGCAGGTTAGAAAAATCATCCCCTGTCTCCCACAGCCACCAGAGCAGGGCTCTGGCTCACAGGTGCCTTTAGGAGTAACATTTCACTTGAGGGCTACACTGCCCCATTTTATAGGTGGGGAAACAAAGGCCTGGAGGGCTAGGGAGGAGGGCAGGCTCCCCAGCTGGGGCAACGCACCAGCTCCTTGAAGCTGTTCTGTGGCTCGGCCAGCTGCCGAAGCCTCTCCTCCTGCTCTGGAAGCCTCTCCTGCTGCTCCTGAAGCCTCTCCTCCTGCTCCCGAAGCCTCTCCTTTTGCCCCTCATTCAGGAGACTTATGCGCTGATTGTACTCCACCTGGGCCTGGAGCGCTCCTGCCACTCTCTCTAGTTCCTTCCTCAGGTGCTGCAGCTCCACCTCAGAGGGCACTGCTGGGGGCTCCGGGGGCAGAGGTTCAGCTGAGAAAGGAAGCAGATAATAAGAGCCTCTGGATTCCAAAAAAAAAAGAAAAGAAAAGAAAAGAAAAAACCCTCCTCTTGGCGCACAGCTCCTCTCCGGCTCCTCAAACTTAGCCTCACTGCTAATGATTCCTCGCACCCAGATGGGTAGCCAGTCTTCCAAAGCACTTTCAGAGAAAGAGCACTGCGGGTGGCTGACAACGGGCCCTCTTTGCTGATGGGGACACTGAGGCTCATTGAGATGACAAGACTTGCCGTCTCCTGGCACAGACCTCTTTCCCTCTGCCTCAAAGCCCTTCCATCCACCCACCTCGCTGGGGCACTCCAAGACACCCTCACAGCCCTCTGATGCCAGTCCTGCTGCCAGGTCACGCCAGCCCCATCTTACCCATCTGGTTTTTGAGTTTGGACAAGCTCCTCTCCAGCTTCTCTACCCGATATTTATCATGCTTCTTCTCCTTCTTCAACGAGCAAACCTGCCCAAAGCACAGGGGGAAAGGGCCCTGGAGAGAGGGGCTGGAGGCTGGACATGCTACCATCTCTCTCTCTGCCCCCACCTCCACAAAGCCCAGACCCATGACCACCTCTGGCTGTACTATTCCCATTTTACAGGTGCCCAGAAAGATCCAGTGACCTATCTAATGTGGGGGGGGCTGAAGGGTCAGATCTCACCTCCTGCGACATTTTTCTCATCCTCTGCTGCCACCGGGCCCTCTCTCCTTTTAGATGTTCAGCATATTCATCCCTCTCTAGCTGGACTTCTTTAAGTGACTCCTTCAACTGCAAGAATGGGCACAGAAATTAGGAAGGGCTGTCACTGGTCCTCACCTGCTCCTGGTTACCTGGGGTCATCTTCCTTCCACATCCCTCCCTCTGAACACCTCACCTGTGTCAGCTGCGCTTTCAGCAGTGCCTGCTCCCGCATGGACTGCTCTAACTTCCACTCCATACGTGCTTTACTGCGGCTGGAGAACTGCTGAAGAGTGAGAAGTTTCAATCTGGGGAGGCCGGGCCATTCCACACAGTGCCCCTTAAAAGGGCCAGGGCTAGGCCCAATATACAACTCGGTCAGTAAAGATCAAGGCATTTCCAAGCCCGTGGTTTGGTTTTTAAAGAACTCAGTAAAGTTGGAAGGGACAGGGAAAGAGATCGAATTTATAGCTGGCTAACAGAGGCCCAGAGAGATCAGATAATATTGCTATTGTTATTACTGTTATTATTACCACTGTTTGAACTTTTATGGAGTGCTTCACCAGATACCATGCTAGCAATCCCATTTAATCCTCGCAACCACCATGGGAGACAGTTACTATGATGACCTCTATTGTGTAGATGAAAAAACATGGAGTATTTGAGGTTAAGTGCTTGCCTAAGATCACTTAGGCAGAGCTGGGATTTAAACACCCAGATCTATCCAATTCTCTAAGCCCATTTTTCTTGCTGGGGGTGGGGGCACAGCTAGGAAGGGGAAAATTAATCTTTTGTTCACTTTTTGAAAGGATAATACATTCACATAGTCCCAGACTCAGAAGGTACAGAAGGGAAGTATCTCCCAGCCACCCTGTTGCTCTCTCCTGAGTTTTTATGAACACTTGCAAACATATTTTATGTATATTATCATAATATGTACACACACACACACGTTTCCTCTCTCTACAGAAATGGTAACATACTAAAGGTACTCTTCTGTACCTTCACAGTACAAGTAGCCAATACCCCACTTAGGACTTGGCCAAGACCACAGCCAGGTAAAGGCATGGCAGGCACTTGGCCTCCAAGCTCTACGTCCTGTGTTCTCTCCCCAGAGTGCCCCCCAACTCACCCACAGCAGCTGACTCAGTCCCAAGCTGCCGCTAACAACCATACAAAAAAGCAGTGAGAAATGGCCATGCTGCCTTCTGGGCAGGACACTCCATCCTGCAGAAGGGACCTTTAGGCTCACTCCTCTGTCTGTGAAGCCAGGCTACCAGGGGACGGGGCAGGTGGTTGGACTCACCCTCTCCGCCTTCTTCTTCTGTGTGGCGGTGACAGCAGAGAGAGCCCGCTCTAACTCTCCTTTACGCTGCAATGAATGTTGCAGACGGACGGCCAGATCCTTGGACTCTTCTGTAATGAGAGAGTTGAGATGGGGCCCAAAGGACTCCCCCTGAAGACCTGTCAAAGTCCCAGGTTGAAGGATGACAGGGTACCCAGATTCCCACCTTCAAAGTATCTGAGAGAATGTTTCGTGTGGTACAGGTCCGTATTTAGTTTCCCTTTCTGTATGTTCAATCTCTGGATTTGAACCTTTGGGAGAAAAGCCAAGCAAGTGCTGAAAGAGAAGGAAAGAAACATTCTCCGGAGGACAGGAGAAAACTGCACACCGTCCACTCACCTCTAGCTCCCTTTCGGCTTTCTGTTTCTCGTTGTTTGCTTTCTTTTCCTGTAGGAAGTGGAAGACAGAGATCTAACCAGGCGGAGGCAGAGATGGTACTGCAAGAGACATGTCCCCAGAATGCCACCACTGCCCCTGCCCCGGGACAGGCCCACCCATGGGACCGGGTTATCAGGGACCCTGTGGGGGATGGGGTGGACTCTGGGGGGTGAGCCTTCTTCCCCAGGCTGGGAGTGGGTGAGACGAGACTCGGGGCCTCTACATCTGAGTGTCCCCCAAACCGAGCAGTCATGTCGCGAGCAAACAAAGAAATCATGTTACTTCTTCCAGCTGATGTTCCACTTGTTTCTTCTGTTGTTTCTGTGGGGAGAGTCACATTAAGGTGATGGAGGGTGGCCCCCTCAACTCTATTCCCCAGAGCAGGAAGTGGTAGGCAGGGACCAGGAATGGATTTTAAAGGCAAAGTTCTCAGACCCAGTGGGAACACGAACTGGTAAACTCTCCTCAAGCTCCCAAGGACAGAGGATTTGGGTCTTTGTTGGCTTTTGTCCACAGCCACAGAACTCAAGGTCTGAATCTGGAATCTCTTGACAGGACAGTAACATAAACCTCTAGAGATGGAGTTTGAGAAAGGCCCCCCCTTCTGCCAGCTTGTGATTTAGAAAAGTGCATTCATTCAATAAACATTTACTGAGCACGTACGGGCCAAGTACGGTTCTTCACAGCAGATTTAGGGCGGAAAAGGACAGACAGGAGCCTTTGGCCCTGAGGTTTCCATTCTAGGAGGCCTTTAAATCTCAGACTCTCAGAGCTAACAGAGACCTATGATACTCACTACTTCCTCTGGAAACACGAGCCCAAAAAGGAGAGGTGGCTTGTCCAGAATCAAAGAGCAAATTAGGGACTGAGTCATGGCAGAAATACAGGGCCCCTGACAACCAGTCAGGCTAGCACTTCCCCAAGAGGCAACAATCCCAGGGCGTGTGTAGCAAGGACTCGAGCAGGGACGTCTGGAGAGGGGAGAGTCAGCAAACAGGGCAGCAAAAAAAGAGCCATGCTGCATGCTCCGGGGTCCCTCCAGGTGAGGCCTGGGCGCCCCAGCTCCCTATTCGCCCTTGGCACCAGGGGCCGCCGTCCCCTTTCTTCAGGGCCCCAAGGGGAAACTAGAGCCCAGGATTGGCAGCGTGGAATCAGGGGACCCCAGTGGACTCTTACCAAAGATTTGATGGTGTTCTTCAGTTGACTGACTTTTACGGACCTCGAGTCTGGGACTACTGCTAGTTCTTGGCACGGGCTCTGAGGCGCATGCAGAGAGGAGGAGGTGGAGGAGGAGTGGGGGGAGAGGTAGAGAGAGCAATCATTAGGGCTGGGGTGTGTGTGGACTGTCTCAGCTGGCAGAGGGGCACCCCGTCCCACCTGGAGGAGGAGGTTGGAGGGCTGCCCTGCAGGGTCACTGCACCTCTGCCCAGAGCCTCTTACCTCCAGATCCTTCAGGGTAGCAGATGATGTAGGGCTCTCCCCGTGGATACCTGTTGCTGACTACAAGAGATGAGAGTGCACATGAAGATGTTCTGTCCCACTCAGTATCTAAGCCCTCTGACTTCTTTTCTTCCCCATCAACTGGCACAATTTTCTTTTCTGCCTATCTTGGACCCTTTGTCCCATAACTCCTTTGTGCCAACTTCTCTCATGGTTCTTATCTCCCCACCACAGCACCCTGCGGCCCTTTCAGTGACTCCTGTGCCAAGTGACTGTTCTCATTGTCCTGGCTTCCCCTTGAGACTGGGGATGAGGAAAATCGAACAGCAATGACCATATCCTGGGTGTTCTGGGTGTTTACAGCAGGCCATGTACTAGGGATTAACATAAAAACAACAATAACAAATCTCATTTAAACTTCACAAATGGAAGTGAAACAATACCACCTCTATTATACAGATGTGAAAAGAGAGGCCCGATGAGGTCAAGCAACTTGCCCTAATTCATATCCCTAGCAGACAAAGAGGCAGGATTCAAACCCAGAATTCTTCACAGGTACCCAACAGTCCATCCACAATCTTAACAATTACCCTCTAGTGCCCCTTGGGTCCCCTGTCCCCAGGAACCTAGTCAGCCAAGACTCACATCTCCAGGTGAGTGGCAACCACCAGAAGTGGCTGTCTCATGGATGCTGCCATTTGTTTTCCTGTTCCTCTTGGCTCCTGCTGGAACACCAGGGCTGTTTCTCTGCCAATATTCTTTTAACTGTCAGAAACAAGAGCAGTAATACTCATGAGAACTATCAGCCCCTGCAGCCACATCCTCCTTTACAGTTTTTATAAAATACTCTTATACACCATCTGATTTAATGACACCAACAACTGTACAAGGTGTTGTCACAATCATTTAGTGACTCAAAGAGATTGATATCATGGCTAGAAAAAAAAAGAAGAAAAGAAAAAGGCGACAGACGAACTTTGAAACTCAGTCTTCTGACTCCAAACTCTGGGGTATTACCAAGAATCAGCAGCTGCCAGGGACCAAAACCAGAGGCAGAGGTAGAAAAGTAAACATTAAGTAGGCAGGAACTGTATGCCATGTGGTTTAGAGTCATACATCCTCACACGTCTGTTAGTGTGAAGAAGTGCACCAGTACCTCTCAAACTCTTATATCAATGTATCCTCATGGCAGAAGGCAGCCTTTCTGTTAAATCTGGGAATTTATCAGAAAGAGGACAACCCAAGCCTCATTTCAGAGAGAGGTCTGGTATACTCTTAGAAACCTATGTGACTGTCATCCCTAAGTACATTAATGTTTTTTCTCTTGATCTCAAGAGAATCAATGGAAACTGATGCTTCAGAAAGATGTCCCATATGTATCCTGTGGCACTCAAAGTACCCCAGGTTTACATAATATGAGGAAGATTCAAGCTGTCAAGTTCAGTTTCCCAAGATCTATTCCACAGAAGATGAGCAAATCTCACTTCACAGACCACTGACTGAAGGGCAGTCTGGTCCCAGAACCATGGAGAATTAGAATGTGAGGTGGAGAACTCACAAAAAATTTGTTAAAATCTCTCTGGAAAGTAGAAGCCTGGGAGAAAACCAAACCAAGTCAAACCCATTCTCCAGTTGCCATCCAGAGGTACTGTCAATGTTTTGAGCTCACAGGGGAAGTGTAGGCTTTTCCCGCTGTCAATGTTTGTGTTAAGGGAGTGAGGCAGCCTGAAACCTCTTGCTCCTAGGTCCCAATCTCCATTCCCCTTCCAGCTGGAAATTTGTGCTGTGACAAGAGGAACCAGAAATGGGGTGGCAATGCTTAGGGGACTGGGTCATAAGATCAAAGGCCAGTCTCGCAGTAATGACAGTTACTGGATGGACCATGACATCACTACATTCCACTCTTCCTGGTGAGGGGGAGGGACCACATCAGCATGATGTCCGAGTCACCGCTCCATGATAGGGGAGGGAAAAACAGAGCTGGGACCCAGGTCCTTGGAGACGCCAGTGCACACAGCCTAGGGAGGTCCACCTTGAGGCAGCAGGAGGGAAGGGAAGAGTCAGCAGCAGGGAGCCCCAGGATTCACCAGCCTAAAGTCACCCAGGGATGACTGGTGAGGGTGGGGTCTGGGGCTGTGGGACCCAGGTCCTTGGAGATGTGAGCCCAAAAAGCCCTGGGAGGTCAAGCTTGGGGTGGCAGGAGATGAGGGCCCAGTAAAGGAGCGGGGAGCCCCAGGATTCACCTGCCCAAAGTCACCCTGGGGTGATTGGTGAGGGCAGAGACTGGGCTGCTTGCTGAAGGGGTGGGGCTGACTGGCAAAACTTTGGTGGGGGTAGCCCAGAGGCACCGGTGTGGGGGTCCCAGTCCGGTGAACCTCGGGATTGGTATGGACTCTGGCAGCAGTCTTGTCGTTGGAGAGGATCTATGGCTGGGTTGGGGGTCCGTGACCTGGTGTGTTTTTACCTTTCTCTTGGCTGCTGCCAATTTACTTTGTCGAGTTTCTTCTGCCATTGCAGGGTGGGGAGGGAGGCGGGCTTGGGGCCACATCAGCAAAATCCCACCAAGCACTGATCAACACCTCCAGTCACCTACCAGGTAGCTGTGCGACTGAGCCAGAGGAGGCGTAACCAGGGATGCAGTAGAAGGCAGAATAGGGGCGTGGCCTTAATGCTCCAAGCCCATTGGTTAATGAGAAAGATGAAAGGGAAAGGGGGCGTGGCCAGGCATCATGTGTCCAGAGGGACCTTTGGCTCACAAGGAAAGCTGCCCATGCAACCACTGTCCCCACCCACTCTAAGAGAGGGGAGAGGCCGCCAACTCTGGGAGAGGGGCAGGGCCGGCTTTTGCTTTAAAAGCTTTTAAAAAATATATATGTGTATACTTTATATATATGTGTGTCTGTGTGTGTGTACCTGTGTGTTCCTCCAGAGCTGTCTTCATGATCCAGCTTCTATGCAAGGTCTATGATTTTGGCCTATATTTTTCATAGAGTACAAAAATTACCAGTATTACCTTAACCGAGATACAGATCCTATGAAAATGGAAAATCCATAGCATGCTTGATGATTACTGAAGCAGACTGTATTATCCAACATTCCAATAAGATAAAATAATCACAATGACTTCTCTTTTTTGGAAAAATGTTTCTCTTATTCTCCTACGTTATTGTGAAGACTTTTTTTCTTAAACAAGAAACATGTGTAATATTTGTAAAAACACAAAGCTTTTGGGCCGGGTGCAGTGGCTTATGCGTATAATTCCAGCACTTTAGGAGCCTGAGGCTGGTGGATCATGAGGTCAGGAGATTGAGACCATCCTGACTAAAAAGGTGAAACCACATCTCTACTAAAAATACAAAAAATTAGCCAGGCGTGGTGGTGGGTGCCTGTAGTCCCAGCTACTTGGGAAGCTGAGGCAGGAGAATGGCGTGAACCCAGGAGGTGGAGCTTGCAGTGAGCTCAGATCGTGCCACTGCACTCGAGCCTGGGCTACAGAGCGAGACTCCTTCTCAAAATAAATAAATAAATAAATAAATAAAACTTCTATTTCTTTCACTTTCTAATATAATTTTAATATCTCCTCCTGGGATTTCACTAAGACACATTTTGGACCTCATTCTGATCTTCCTCTCCCCTCCAAGCCCACCAACTTCTGCCCTATCATCTATCCTCATGTCTCTCTGTGTGACATGCTGACTTACTTTTTGGAGAGAATCGCCTAAACAATTAATTCTTTCTTCTCGTGTCTAATCCATCCACTAGTTTCTTATTTCAACAATTACATTTTTATTTCCTTATTTCATTTTATTCTGCGACTGAGTCTCATTCTGTCACACAGGCTGAATTGCAGTGGTACGAACCTGCAGACTCGGCCTCCTGGGCTCAAGTGATCCTCCCACCTCAGCCTCTTGAGTAGCTGGGACTATAGGCAGGTGCCCCATACCCAGCTAATACCATACCCACACAGCAGAGACATAAAAGATTTCCATCCTCAAAGAAGGTTCCATTGAACAGCACTGCTCTAATTCAATAAAAAATACCACTGAGCACAACATAGTAATAGAAAAGATTGAAGAGGCAGTGCTGATACTTAAAAACCTGGTATTTTCAGCCAGGCATGGTGGCTCATGCCTGTAATCCTGGCACTTTGGGAGGCTGAGGTGGGAAGATCGCTTAAGCCCAGGAGTTCTAGACCAGCCTGGGCAACATGGTGAAACCCTGTCTCTACAAAAAATACAAAAAATTAGCTGGGCATGGTGGCATGTGCCTGTAGTCCCAGCTACTTGGGAGGCTGAGGTGGGAGATCACCCGAGCCTGGGAGGTCAAGGCTGCAATGAGGTGAGATGGCACCATCACACTCCAGCCTGGGTGACAGAGTGAGACCCTGTCTCAAAAACAAAAAACAAAAAACAAAACAAAAACACCTGATATTTATTTTTAAGTACACTATTTTCAAACATTCAGAAGTTATTTCATCCTACCTTCATGGTTTCCATTCTATGCCTGGTTTAGAATTGGGATCTGATAAAATAAACGTGTTCAACAGAACCACTTCTCATGGCTGTATAACAGATGATCAATATGTATTTGCTGAGGAAATCATACAATTTTCTTAAATTTTTTTAACAAAAATTGTGCTTTCAAGGGACCAAACTTGAATACTACACCTTCATGTTCTAAGAATCAGGGGACTTATATAAAACCTCAGTTGCCTGATAAGGACTACATCAAAGTGAAAAGCCATGGGAAAGAACTAGAAAGTATACTTTTGACCCTAGTTCTGTAAAGTTTCCTTATGCCACAGGTAATACACATCGCAATTCCTGCCAAATTCTTTCCCTCACCTCTGTTTATGGTCTCGATTCCATAAATAGGAGAAGGGCATGAATTTGCTTTAGTTAGATAGACAGATAGATGGATAGATAGATAGATGGATGGATGGATGGATGGATGGATAGATAGATAGACAGAGATAAAGATAGAGACAAAGATGGAGACAGAGATGGACATAGAGACAGATTTGCAGAAGATAAGTTCTAGGTGAACTAGTGTCAACATTAAAGTGGTATGCCTACATCTAACTATTCTGGAGAGAAAAACATACCTCAAAGAAATTGACTTAAATATATACAGAGAAAAAGTTTAAGCTGAAAGCTACTGCCTTTTTATATGAGACACTTTAGGAAATTACTTGGGGGGCAAGAGAGAAAATGGGTGGACATAGCTTAGAGGTTACACAGTAGCAGATATGTAGGATGAACAAGCCTAGAAATATAATGTACAACGCGAGAAATATAGGTAATAAAATTGTGCTGTATTGGGATTCACGCTAAATGAGATTTTAAGCTCCTCTTGCCACCAAACAAAAAGAAAACGGGTAACTATCTGAGTTGAAGGATACGTTAATTTGCTTCACTGTAGTAATTTTTTTAACCATCTATATGCATCCCACAAAATCATGTTGTATACCTTAAATACACAGAATACAATTTATTTAACATAAAAAACTACTCCAATATTTTCTGCATTTTTAATATGCTCACCCAAAGAAAGCATTAATTTGCATCTTTGATGTTAAACAGATAGCCTAATCAAGTCACTATCAAGATCAAGACTAAAAGTTACAGCTTTTTTCTTTTGATGCCTTTCAGATATATCTATTTATATATAAAAATATATATACACACACACATACATACACACACACATATATATGTAGTTATGTGTGTGTGTATATATAGTTACAGTTTTGGCCAGGTGCAATGGCTGACACCTGTAATCTCAGCACTTTGGGAGACCAAGGCTGAAGGCTTGCTTGAGGCCAGGAGTTTGAGACCAGCCTGGGCAACGAAGCAAGACCCTATCTCTACAATTTTTTTTTTTAAACAAAATTAGCCAGGGATGATGGCATGCACTTGTAGTCCCAGATACTTGGGAGGCTGAGGCGGAGGATCCCTTGAGCCCAGGAGTTCAAAGCTGCAATGGGCTGTTACTGTGCCACTGGATCCCAGTCTGAGCAACAGAGCAAGACTTTGTCTCAAAAACAAAATTTATAGTTATAGTTTTATGAACCTTGACTGCAACTGAGGGAAAATCCCGTAATTGGCAAAATGAATTCTGCCTGCTTGCAAAACTTCTGACTAATACGGAATGAATAATAGGAAGCCCATATTAGAGGATCCACATCAGTTAAAAAGTTTCCAAATAAGAGTGACTCTGAGTTCTGCAGAGTGAAAAGATTGGGTTCAAACCAAACACTTGCAAGATCTTGAGTAAGATACTTAATCCCTCTGTGACTCACTGTTCTCAAATGTAAGTGAAGATAATTTGTAACTCAAAAAAAATGAAAAAGTTTTCTCTAAGATTGCAAATCCTAAGGATAATTTCATTTTAATATCAGTTATTTAGTCTGGATACACCATAATGCAGACTAATTTTCCCTCTGCTTAAAGACCACACAAAAACATTACCAATAAAATTTACTTGTGTATCAACTTTTACTCCTGAGACTTCATCGTTTGTTTGGTTAAAAAAAAAAAAAAAAAAGCGCACTAGACCGGGCACAGTGGCCCATGTCTGTGATCTCACTTGCGGAGGCCAAGGCAGGTGGATGAGTTTGAGAACAACCTGGGCAACATGGAAAAACCCCGTCTCTACAAAAAAAATATATAAAAATTAGTCAGGTGTGGTGGCACATAACTGTGGTCCCAGCTACTCCAGAGAGTGAGGCGGGAGGATTGCTTGAGCCCAGGCAGAGGTTGCAGTGAACCAAGATGGCACCACTGCACTCCAGCCTGGGTGACAGAGCAAGACCCTGTCTCAAAAAAAAAAAAATCACTATAAAATTGAAATTCACAACAAAATGTGCATACTTAACCTTCTTTTTATTTATTTATTTATTTATTTTTAATATTTTGAGACAACATCTTGCTATGTTGCCTAGGCTGGTCTTGAACTCCTGGGTTCAAACCATCCTCCAGTCTTGACTTCCCAAAGTACTGGGACTACAGGTGTGAGCCACCAGCCCCGCCAGCCCTGTTACACTATTCTTGGCCCCTCAAGTGACTGTATGAATTTTAGGATCAGCCTCTCGAGTTCCACAAAAAAATTCTATTGGGATTTGTGTAGGAATTTCTTGAATTTATAGATTAATTTGTTGAGAAGTAGTATGTTTATAGCATTGAGTCCTACGATTCATAATATATATGGCATATATTTCAGTTTAGTCAGTTCTCCCTTTAAGTCCCTGGGTAATTTTTATATTTGTCTTAGTCCCTTCATAGTGCCATAACAAAACACCTGAGACTGGGTAATTTACACAGAGCAGAAGTTTATTTTCTCAGTTCTGGAGGTTGGGAAGAACAAGATCAAGACTCCAGCAGACACAGTGTCTAGTGAGGGCCTGGTCTCTGCTTCCAAGATGGTACGTTGAATGCTGCTTCCTCTGGAGCAGGCAAATGCTATGTTCTCATGAGGCAGAAGGGACAGATTTACCACCACCCACAAGCCCTTTTATAAGGAAGGCACTAATCTCATGCATGAGGGCTCACCCTTATGTCTTAATCACTTCTTAAAGGCCCCACTTCTTAGTACTATCATCTTGGGAATTAAGTTTTAATACATGAATTTTGGGAGACACATTCAGGCTATGGCAATACTCTTCATGAAAGGCCTGTGTATACTTTGCTAGATATATTCTCAGGGTTTTGTTGCTATTGTGAATAGAATCTCTTTTTTTTTTTTTTTTTTTGCCACGGAGTCTGGCTCCTTTGCCCAGGCTGGAGTGCAGTGGCGTGATCTCGGCTCACTGCAAGCTCTGCCCCTCCAGGTTTAAGCAGCCTGTTGCCCAGGCTGGAATGCAGTAGCATAGTCATAGTTCAATACAGCCTCAAACTCCTGGGCCCAAATGATTCTCTAAGCTAATATTTTTAATTTTTTAGAGATGGAGTTTCATTCAAGGATCACTAAAGGCCAGTGATCCTCCCGCCTCAGCTTCTGAAATTGCTGGGATTACAGGTGTGATTGAGCCATGGAGCCTGGCCAGACATGGGCTATTGATTCTCGCTGTTACTCTTTTCCCTTTCCTTCTAATCCTTGTATTGGGAAGAAAACAGTATGGAAATTTTATTTCTTCATTTTATTGATACGTAGATCTCTGCTTAGAAGACAATTTTAGTTTTAAATTATAAATGTTTCGTTCATTATTCATAGAAAACTAGATTTGCCATGGGATATTTATAAGTGTTGCACGAATGAAGGGTTTTCTAGTCAAATAAGTTGAAACACATTACGTTAAACAAACTTGGACAGTTTTGTTTCCGGTCATTTTTAGAGTTCTAAATTATGATTCTACTCAAGAGGATATTGTATGCGGTATTTTCAAACCAACTCATCCTGCGTCAGGTTGTGGTTACGCTTTGGGAGAGGAAGCTATAATCTTATACTGAGACTGTAATGAATGTATTAAGGTAATTTTCGTAGCTTTCTCTTTTTGGAGTTACCTGAGAAATTATGACACCCTTTTCCAAACAGGCCAACCTGCTTTGCAAACACGATTTCCATAATTTTAACAATGGTGAGGCCAGGCACGGTGGCTCATACCTGTAATTCCTCCCAGCACTTTGGGAAGCCTAGGCAGGAGGATCACTTAAGCCAGGAGTTCAATACCAGCCTGGGCAACATGGCAAAAACTCATCTCTACAAAAAATACACATATTAGCCAGGCGTGGTGGCACACACCTATAGTCTCAGCTACTCAGAGGTTGAGGTGGGAAAATTGCTTCAGCTCAGGAGCTCGAGGCTGCAGTGAACGGTGATCACGCCACTGCACTCCAGCCTGGGTGACAGAGCAAGACCCTGTCTCAAAAACAAACAAAACAAAACACAAACCAAGGGTGAGAGAGATGTTAGATGTTTTTGTCCTTGTTACAGATGTAAATGCTCAGTTGGAAAGAGGGAAGTATTTAGAGTGAAAAAGTTTCGGTGGAACACACACAAAAATAGGAAGATCAGGTATAACTGTTCCAAAAAAAAGAGTATGGCAGTATAGAAGAAAAGGTCTCCATGAAAATGCAGAAGAACAATTTCACAGCTGGTGCTGGCATTTCAGAGACCTTGAGCTGGGAATCAAAAGATGGGAATTTCAGTCTCGGATGTGCCACTCCTTAGAGGTTTAATATCTACTAAACCCGGCGGGCTCCACTTGGTGGTGTTTGCTATTTAAAAAAACAAAAACATGTGGCAATGATCTTCCACGTGATTCTGACTTGAGCCCCACGCGAGTCTGCAGACTTACCCTTCCACTGCTTTGCCCTTCAAGTTTGTGCCCATTAGCAAAGAGAAATTTTCTCTTTGGGATCACTGCTGTGTTGATCTCAGGAATATTTGGCGTTGAATTTAACATATTTTTCATATGTGTGTGCAATAGGGAGGCTGAGAAAGTTGTCTTTTTTTTAAGGTGTTCATTTTTGGGGTACAGGTAGCAGCCTGCTCTACAATCCACACAGAAGCTGGAAATAGCCTCTAGAGAATTTCCACGTTTAGAGAAGATAAATTTATACATTTGTATCTAATCAACATTTTTTAGGTAACATAGTAGTCTAATTATACTATGTATAATTATACTATGTATAATTATGGGTACTGAAATGACACCTGGCATATGCTGTATGCTCTGTTATATATACATATATATTTACACATATACATATATATTACACATATACATATATATTTACACATATATATTTACACATATACATATATATTTACACATATATATTTACACATATACATATATTTACATATTTTACATTTACATTTTACATTTATTTTACATTTTACATTTACATTTGACATTCTACATTTATTTTACATTTACATATTTTACATTTACAAATATTTACATATTTTACATTTATATATACATATATTTACATACATATATTTACGTACATATTTTTACATACATATTTACATGTGTATATATTTACATACATTCACATACATATTTACATATATATTTACATACATACATATTTACATAATATTTACATACACATATTACATACATATATGTACACATATACATATATTTACACATATACATATACTATGTATAATTATACTATGTATAATTATGGGTACTGAAATGACACCTGGCATATGCTGTATTTAAAAATGTGAGGTTCAGTGAGAACACATGGACACAGGAAGGGAAACAACACATACTGGGGCCTGTCAGGGCGGGTGGGGGAGGAGCATCAGGAAAAATAGCTAATGCGTGCTGGGCTTAACACTGAGGTGATGAGTTGATAGGTGGACCAAACCACCATGGCACACGTTTCCCTACGTAACACTCCTGCACATGTACCCTAGAACTTAAAACAAAATTTTAAAAATAATAAAAAATAAAAATGTGAAATTCAGCACATAAACTGTTGGTTTTATTATTCATATTTTCTTAATTCAGAAATTATTTTCTGAACTATGGTTTATTCGATAATTTTGACGTAACAATTTTTTAAGAGGAAATTTAAGTTTTACTTTTTAATTGGGGCTCTTGGTTCTTTTTAAGAAAGACAGAGATAAATCATTTATACATTTAATTAGAAGAGACTGGGCTTGAATTTTTAAAAAGTACTAGAAATCGTAGCCACTATATATGTTATCTTTGAAATGTTTTAGACACTAATTACCTAAACAAGGAGCAAATAAGTTAAACCTCTTGGATTTTAATAAGAACTAAAATGTACAGTTGTATTTTCTGGTTTTTTAAATTGTTACAGTCTAAATTTATTCTTCCTAATGAAGAAATGTATGTGCCGTCAATATCAGGTTCTTTGTGGGTACTCACAGTTCCCTTTGCCTTTTACGCAGTGAATGTGGGCAACATGCGTGGAACAGAAATGATGTCGTTTTCTTTCTTTTGAATATCACTATGAATCTAATAATTCAAAGATTCCTAACTTTCTGAATGCCATTATTAATTGGATTCACAATGACTTACCAGGTACAGAGTTGTCCCGTGTGTCTTGGGGTGAACTACTGAGAGTGGTATGAGGGAAGCGATTCTCAGCTAGCGCTGAGTGGGGCCACTTCCAAAGAGGTGATGGGGTAAGAAGCACACACAATGTGGCATTTTCACTGCAAAGGGAGGTTTGTGCTGCCTCTCCTCCTGTGGCAGGTCTGCTCGCAGGGGAGGCTCCAAAGTTTGGCTTTGCTGGGTTTGGCATGTGAGAACTGATGAAATATCTGTATGTAGTATCTTTCAAGGATTTATATCGGTTGGATTTCTGTGTAAATTTGCATATCCCTTTGACTGCTTTACCCCATAGAAGCTTTGTATGCTTAACAAAATCTGTAACTTTTCTGTCACTTTCTCATTTAGCATCTGCCTTTCTGGCTTTTTACTTTATCTTTTTATTATTGTTTTTAGTTTAATGAGATTATGGTTAGAGAGAAAGATGGGTGCATGATTCCGCTTCTTTGGAATTTGTTGAGATTTTCCTTATGGCTCAGTACATATGTACTTGGGGGGGTGAATGCTGTCACTTTGGAGAGATATGTTTTTTCTGTACATTAAGTCAAGCTTGTTAATTTTCTAGAGAGATGTAAATCTTCTATGTCTATGCTGATTGTTTTTTGTCTCTTTTATCAGACACTGAGATATGTATTTAAATTGCCCTCTGAGGGTTGCAATTTTGTCATATTTTGCTTTCATGTATTTTGAGTGCTAGTTATTAGATACATTAACATTTTAGATTACCTTCTCCCTTGGTTTATTAGAATTTTTATCATTATATTGTGGCCTTAAAAAATCTCCCATATTGCTTTTTGCCCAAAGCCTATTTTATCTGATAATAATATAGCTTCCAACCCTTCTTTGGGTTAGGTACATATGACAGGTGTATCTTTTTTCAATCTCTCTCAGTCTTTCTGTGACTTTATGTTTTAGATGTCTTTTCATACTGTTTATTTTCTGTTTTTTGTGTTTTTTTGTGTGTTTTTTTTTTTTGATACGGAGTCTTGCTCTGTTGCCCAGGCTGGAGTGTAATGGTGTGATCTCGGCACTGCAACCTCTGCCTCCTGGATTCAAGCGATTCTCCTGCCTCAGCCTCCTGAGTAACTGGGATTACAGATGTTCACCACCACGCCGGCTAATTTTTGTATTAGCAGAGATGGGGTTTCACCATGTTGGTCAGGCTGCTCTCGAACTCCTGACCTTGTGATCCCTCCGCCTGCCTCATCCTCCCAAAGTGCTGGGATTACAGGCATGAGCCACCACGCGTGCCCTAATTCTGTTTTATAGTCATTTTCTCTTAATTATTCAGTCTATTTACATTTATTGTGATTGTTGGCATAGTTTCTTTTATAACTTTCATCGTATTTTGTGCTATTTGTTCCATCTGTTTTTATTTCTTCATGTCTTTTTTGTTTCGTTTTTGCTAATTCCTTTTATATTCATGGTTATTCTGCTCTTGAAATGTATGCTATGTGAATATATTTGTGAGTTGACAATACTTTATTAGCAATTAAATATACTATTTCTCTTTTTTTTTAGAACTTGCTCAAATGTTACATAACCTCAATATCCTTAGTATCTAAATTAAACTGACTTTCTGAACAATCATCATTTTAAGGCAGTTACCACGATCTACTAAAAAATAAAAAAAAATTAGCCGGGAGTGGTGGTGGGCGCCTGTAATCCCAGCTACTCAGGAGGCTGAGGCAGGAGAATCCCTTGACCCTGGGAGGCAGAGGCTGCAGTGAGCCGAGATAGCGCCACTGCACTCCAGCCTGGGCGACAGAGAGACTCCGTCTCAAAAAAATAATAATAATAATAATAATAATAAAGGAATTTAAAAAAAGACTGGGTTTAACCATGTTGCCCAGGCCGGTCTGGAACTCCTAGGCTCAAGCAATCCCCCACGCTTGGCCAGTCCAAAGTCCTGGAATCAAAAGCGTGAACCACCACGCCAGGCCGATCACGCCTGTCATCCCAGCACTTGGGGAGGCGGAGGTGGGTGGATCACCGGAGGTCAGGAATTTGAGACCAGCCTGGCCAACATGATGAAAACCCGTCTCTACTAAAAATACAAAAAAAAAAATTAGCCGGGTGTGGCGGCAGGCGCCTGTAATCCCAGCTACTCAGGAGGCTGAGGCAGGAGAACCACCAAAACCCGGGATGCAGAATTTGCCGCGAGCGGAGACCCAGCCACTGCACTCCAGCCTGGGCAACAAGAAGGAAACTCCGCCTCAAAAAAAAAAAAAATAATAATAATAAGAGACAGATTTTCACCATGTTGCCCAGGCAGGTCTGGAACTCTTAGGCTCAAGCAATTCCCCACGCTCGGTTGTCCAAAGTCCTGGGATCGAAAGCGTGAGCCACCACGCCAGGCTGATCTATTTCTTTCTGATTAATAAATTGGGCCGGGAGCGGTGGCTCACGCCTGCAGTCCCAGCACCCCGGGAGGCCGTGGCGGGCGGATCACCTGAGGTCGGGAGTTTGAGACCAGCCTGACCAACATGGAGAGACCTGTCTCTACCAGAAAAAAAAAAAAAAAAAAAAAAGAGCCGGGCATGGTGGCTCCCGCCTGCAATCCCAGTCACTCGGAGGCTGAGGCAGGAGAACCACCCAAACCCAGAGGCAGAGGCCGCGGGGAGCCGACACCGCACCACTGCACTCCAGCCCTGCAACAAGAGGGAAACTACGCCTCAAAAAAAAAAAAGAGAGAGAGAGAGAGACCGGTTTTCACCATGTTGCCCAGGCTGGTCTAGAACTCCTAGGATCAAGGGATCCGCCACGCTCGGCCGGTCCAAACTCCTGGGATCAAAAGCGTGAGCCACCACGCCAGGCCGATCCTTCCTGTCATCCCAGCACTTTGGGAGGCCGAGGTGGGTTTACCTGAGGTCCGGAGTTCGAGACCAGCCTGGCCAACATGATGAAAACCCATCTCTACTAAAAATCCAAAAAAAAAAAAAAAAAAAAAAAAAAATTAGATGGGTGTGCTAGCGGGTGCCTGTAATCTCAGCTACTCAGGCGGCTGAGGCAGGAGAATCGCTTGAACCTGGGAGGCAGAGGTTGCAGTGAGCCGAGACAGCGCACCACTGCACTCCAGCCTGGGTGACAAAGTGAGACTCCGTCTCAAAAGTATATATATATAAAAATAAAAAATGAAATAAAAATAAATTGGGTGTGTGCGCTGGCTCACGCCTGCAATTCCAGCATCCCCGGAGGCCGAGGTGGGCGGATAACCTGAGGTCTGGAGTTTGAGATCAGCTTGCCCAGCATGGAGAAACCCCGTCTCTACCAAAAACAAATAAAAAAAAATTAGCAGAGCAATGTTGGTCAGGCCTGCAATCCCAGCCACTCCGGAGACTGAGGCAGGAGAACTACTAAAACCCTGGAGGCAGAAGTCGCTGCGAGCGGAGACCCAGCCACTGCACTCCACCCTGGGCAACAAGAGCGAAACTCCGCCTCAAAAAAAAAAAGAGAGAGAGAGAGAGAGAGAGACCGGGTTTCACCATGTTGCCCAGGCAGGTCTGGAACTCCTAGGCTCAAGGGATACCCCGCGCTGGGCCATCCGAAGTACTGGGATCACAAGCGTGAGCCACCACACCAGGACGATCTATTCCTTTCTGATTAATAAGTTGGGCCGGGAGCGGTGGCTCAAGCCTGCAATCCTAGCACCTCGGGAGGCCTAGGCAGGTGGATCACCTGAGGTCGGGAGTTTGAGACCAGCCTGACCAACAGGGAGAAACCCCATCTGTACCAAAATAAAAATAAAAAAAAAATACAAAATTAGCCGGGCTTGGTGGCTTATGCCTGCAATCCCAGCCACTCTGGAGGCTGATGCAGGACAACGACCGAAACCCGGGAGGCGGAAGTCGCGGCAAGCAGAGACCCAGCCACTGCATTCCAGCCTGGGCAACAAGAGCGAAACTCCGTCTCAAAACAAGACAAAACAAAAAGACCAGGTTTCACCATGTTGCCCAGGCCTGTCTGGAACTCCAAGGCACAAGCGATCCACCCTACTTGGCCGTCCAAAGTCCTGGGATCACAAGAGTGAGCCACCACGCCAGGCAGATCAAAGCGTTGAGCTGAATAAAGAGTTATCTTTTAGCATTTTGTGGAGCCCGGGTAGATCTGTGCAGGGGGAAGCATATTACAGAAGCGAGAAACAGAGAGTTATTTAATTGAAGCACGCATTATGTTTTTTTTTTTTTTACGTTTTTAGGAAAAATATGTTTTGTGACTTGCATTTGTTTGTTTAGTGACCTTGCAGTTGCACAGTTAGGGAATTAGGGTTTTGATAATGCCTGGGAAGGGAGCGATAAGGCTCACTAGCCATAGGAAAACAGGTAGTTTTTTTAAAGGACTAAGGCTCTTTCTCATTCTCAGGGGGAATTGGGTTTTTTTTACATACAGCTGAGTTTTTGCTTACACATTTTTTCATTTCTTTTAATTCCTGTTCCAATCCCAGCATCCTTGCGGTGCGGTTTCCCAGCGGCTCTCTTGCCTTGCAGCTTGTGTCGGGAGTTGCAGACAGCCATGGCCCATGGGCCTGGCGCTGACGGACCCTGGAGCGGTGTCTGAGGGAGGTGGGCAAAGCCACTGGCTGGCCCGAGTGCATCCTCACGTAAGTGCACAGATCCCGGGCTCGGGTGCGACTGCGGTCGCACGTGGACACGGGTTGCAGACCCCTGGCAAATTGTGGAGCTGGGGGAAGGTAAGGGGAAATGTAAATCACTTTTCCCCACATTTCAGAGGACCTAGGCTATCAAAATTTTAAAAATTGTTAAAACTTTTACAGTATGGATCTCTCAGTTGAATGTTATTGAAATCAACCTAACCTCAGTTATTCACGCCTATAAGCTCCCCTTGAGGCTTATTACGGCCCCCATCCCCCTACACACAACTGTGTTGGTTTCTCCTTCCGCCTGTGCTCCTAAAGCACTCAGTGTTTACCTGCCATCATACTTTATTGAAAGCACAAACTTGTCACTTGTCTGTCTACCCCACTAAGCTTCTTGAGAATTAGAACTTTCATGTCTCTTCCCAACACAAACGTTTTATGTGTATTTTGTTGAAGAACTTCAAATATGACCTATAAAATTATGACTCATTTATGTTTCAAACTCCAACCTCTCCCTTGAGTTCCTTGCTCACAAGCAACTCCAGACTGAGCTTAGTTGGAATTCAGTAGCGCACAACTGGGATATCCGCACCGTACGGCTTTTAACAATTTTTTAAATTTTGGTCCTCTCAGCATCACAAATTCACCGTGTCCAAAATACAGTAGAATGTTGTTTCTACCCACCTACACTCTGCCATCCGCTGAAGTCCTTTCCCCTTGCTCCACCACTCAAGCCTTGCCTATCGCAGTAAATGGCAGTTCTGTCTCTCCAGTTGCTCGCACATAAAACTAGGCTGCTATTTTGATGTCTTCACTTTTCTCTATTCTGTATCTAATTCCTTAGCAATCCTGTCAGTTCTACCTCCAAACTGTACTCAGCATATTCACTGCTCTAACTCCAGCTTAAATCACCATCATCCTTTGCCTGGAATGCTGCATCAACCTTCTAATCACTCTACTTTCCTCCTCCTCCTTCCTCCCTTTCTTCTTCCTTCGTATAAATCATCATTTCATCCTTCTGCTTAAAATCTTCTCACATTTTCTTATTACACTTAAAACGGCAAACTCTTACCCTTGAGCCCTGCAGAATTTGGCTCCCATCAGTCTCTCCGACTTCACCTTCTGCCTCCTTCACGCTATAGCCATGCTCACTTTTTTATTCCTCAGGCTTACCAAGCTCAATTGCATCTTAGAGAATTTGTTCTTGCTGTTTCTTCTGCCTGGAATACATGTTTCCCAATCTTTATAAGACTATACTTGTCTGTAAGTTTCACCTCAGATGTCACATCTAGGAGAGGTTTTCCTTGACCACTGTAAGCCAAAGCAAATGTTGATCATTGAGTGAATAAGGGAATGAATGAATGGAGTGGTATATAATGTAGCAGAGTAGAAAATTTAAGGCTAATTCTCTATACATCTCCAAGCAAATAGATTTGTAATGCTTTTCCTGCCAACAATCTATACAGCTGATTCACAAATACTTGGTTGACAGGTTTTATATATCATTGTGGCTCATCAGCTTATATATTGTTGGGGCCAGAATCTATACTTACACTTTATTCAAATTTGATTTTACAGAAGAGTTGAGGTTTTTATTTTTCTTTTAATTAAGAGGGCTGTGAAATTATTATCTATAATTCTAAATCTCATTTAATTCCTCCCAATAGGTTTCAAGCTGGATTGGAACCAAAGTTCACTTCTTTAACGAAAGTGCTTTATGACTTTAATAAAACAGTAGAGAATGGTAGAATCCATGGCAGCTCTTTACAAAAACTTGTGATAGAAAGTTTTGATGATGAGCAGACTTTGCAACAACTGGAATTGCAAAATGAAGCAATTTTACAGTGCTTCCAGAATGCGGTTAGTGAAAGAAAGATGAAGATATCAGTCTTCTCCCAGAGAGTGAAGAACAGGAGCATGAAGAGGCTGGTTCAGAAACAGAGGCTGATGGCCAGGAGGACTTAGAAGATTTAGAGGAGGAGGAGGACGTGTCAGATATGGGTGGTGACAATCCTGAAATGGGTGAGAGAGCTAAAAACTCAAGCAAATTCAGGGCCAGGCGCGGTGGCTCACGCCTGTAATCCCAGCACTTTGGGAGGCCGAGGCAGGCGGATCACGAGGTCAGGAGATCGAGACCATCCTGGCTAACAAGGTGAAACCCCATCTCCACTAAACATACAAAAAATTAGCCAGGCGTGGTGGCAGGTGCCTGTAGTCCCAGCTACTCGGGAGGCTGAGGCAGGAGAATGCCATGAACCCGGGAGGTGGAGCTTGCAGTGAGCCTAGATCACGCCACTGCAGTCCAGCTGGGCGGCAGAGTGAGAGACTGCATCTCAAAAACAAAAACAACAATTACTTAACTTTAGGATGCTCCAATAATCAAAATTGATAGTGGCTTGTGAACAGATAGATTACTTGAATAGAATAGAGCCCAGAAATAAACCCAAATGCTTCTGGGGGAGTTTGGTACATTATAAACATGACATTTTAAATCAATGAGGAAAAGAAATCATTTGCAGCTCACCCCACCATACACAGCAGGAATAGGAAGTCATTGGCAGAATAAAAAGATGGTAAGAACAGAACAGAATTGTAGAACAGTACATTTCTCGCTTCCCCACTTTTCAAAGTATTTTTTGCTTTTTCACAAATGTAAGTGTAATTTTATTTTCTAAATGTATACTAATTCTTTTCTTCTCTTTCTTAGATGAATGACAAAAATTACATCTTTAGAAAAAGAGTTGTTAGAAAAAAGCCTTGGCTGCATGTGGGGGAAGTGACAGCACAGAAGAGACCAGAGAAGAGCCTCCTGGAGGAGAGCCTGCACTTTGACCATGCTGTCCGGATGGGTGCAGTGCTCTTTTCTGCAAAGTGTTCACTTCTCTGCTTTTTCTGTGGTCCCATTTCATAGAAAGATTTGGGGTGATGTTTCTTTCCCTCAACTTTTATTTTGAAAACTTGCAAACACAGAAAAGTTGATAAAATCATACAGTGAACATCTGTATGCTATTCAACTGGATTCACTAGTTAATGTTTTGTCACACTTGTTTTCTGTCTTCTGCGTATGGAAGATTGTATATGTGCCCTTTTTCCCCCTGAATCATTTCAAAGTAAGTTGGCAGTATCAGAGCATTTCACTGTTAAGTACTTTCGCAGATATCTTCTAGGAACCAGGACTTCTCCTATATAATCACAATACCATTAATCCACCCCCAAAATTTAACATCAATACACTAATGATACCTACTGTATAGATTATAATCAGCTTCCTTGCAGCAATCTGTTTAGAAGGCTTGCATCCTGTCACTGTCCACTGATTAAATTTTGAACTCTAACTTGAAACCCTGGTCATCTCATTGCCTTCTTTCTTATACCCATTAAGTCAAAAGGAGCTCTCATTTTATTTCAACAGAAAAGAGAATGGAAAAGAGGGGAAGAGTCCCTAGTACCTTGGATAAAGTATGAGCACTTACTACCATATGTATTCTAGTTCTGTAGTTTTCAAACTTCAGGGAGCATCTCAAGGCTTATTAAAGCACAGATAGCTGTCCTTCCCCACTTTCTGATTCAGGAGGTGTGGGGCTGGCCCAGGAATTTGCATGTCTAACAAGTTCCCACGTGTTTCTGATGCTGAGGGTGTAAGGACTACAATGCGTGAATCCGTGGTTTAGTGGATCCACCTAATGAATACATGTTGTATTTCCTTTGGCACCCGTGATTACAGAGGAAACACCTTTCAACTGGAAGGTATCATTAAACAGAGGATAAGAGATCAGGTCAGTAAGAATTAAATTTCACTTAATTGAAATGTCACTCAAATGTTTAGAAATAATATGACAGGCCAGGCACAGTGGCTCATGCCTGTAATCCCAGCACTTTGGGAGGCCAAGGCAGACGGATCACTTGAGGTCAGGAGTTCGAGACCAGCCTGTCCAAGATGGTAAAACTTCCTCTCTACTAAAAATACAAAAATTAGCTGGGCATGGTGGTGCATGCCTATAGTCCCAGGTACTCGGGAGGCTGAGGCAGGGGAATCGCTTGATCTCGGGATATGGAGGTTGCAGTGAGCTGAGATGCGCCACCGCACTCCAGCCTGGGCAACAGAGTGAGACTCCATCTCAACATAAATAAATAAATAAATAAATAAATAAATAAATAAATAAATAAGATAAAAATAAAAATAAAGGGAAGATGGGGCAGCTTTGTGTATTGCATGTCCTGAAAATGGGCTGATTTCTCTCAAGAGGCAGGGATTTAAGCTCTGTAGCCTATGTGGGATACATACAGGAGAAAAAAGAAGAAAAAGAAAAGAAATGTAAATATAAATAAATGAAAATAACACTTTTCCATGATTATAAAGGAAATCACATTGTTTTTGTAATAATTTGGATGACAAAATGTAAAGAAAAATCTTTAATTTTGCCACTCAAAACATTCCGGTTTGTTGCTTTTCACACTTTTTATGCTGTAAACATTTTAAAAAGTAGAATCACAATACATGGTCTTTTGTCACTTACTATATTTTAAGCATGTTTCTATGGAGAAATATACCCTGGCATCATCACTGGATGTATGTTAAGTGAGTCATTGCCACCCCAGAGGTGGATTTCCTTCTATATATATTTTAATGGACTCGAGTCAGGATTTTTGCACTGAATTCATAGAAGTAGAATTTCTAGAGGAAAGTAATATAAAACAGTTTTAGGATTTTTAAAAGAAATGTTCAAATCATCCTACAGGAAAATTGGTTGAGTTTATGCTCCCACCAACAGGGACAGAGCTCCAGGTTCCCCCTTCCATTTGTCATCTTCGCTGGTCTTTAAGCAGAAAATCTCATTGTTTTCATTACCTTTCTTTGATTTCTAGTGCTTTTGAATCTTTTTCATTTGCTCATTGGCCATTTTTATTCTTGTGGGAAGTGCTGGTTTCTCCATTGCCCATTTTCTGCTGCAAATCATTCATTTTTTTTTCTGAGTAATTTTAAAGATTTCTTTATAGGCTAAGGCTACAAACCTTTAATCTGTCATTGAGGTTACAAAGATCTTCTCCCAGTAAGTAATTTGTCACTTCACTTTATTTATTTATTTTTTGCTAGCAAAGCACCAAAGTCAAATTTCACTTAATTTTTATCCTGCTGAATGAACACATTTTAAGTTAGTGATTTTAGTGGAAACAGGAGCAGGACAGAATGTAATAATTAGATCTCGCTCTGTCACCCCAACTGGAGTGCAGTGGCATGATCATAGCTACTGCAGCCTCAAACTTCTGGGCTCAAGTGATTTTCCCACCTCAGCCTCCCAAGTAGCTCTAGGACTACAGGTGTGTGCCGCCAAGCCCAGCTAATTTTTAAATTTTCTTTGTAGAGATATGAATTCGCTATGCTGCCCAGGCTGGTCTTTAACTCCTGACTTACCCCACCTTAGCTTGCCAATATGCTGGGAGTACGGGCGTGAACTACTGCTCCCGGCCAAGAGCTTACTTTGGTTTGCTAGCAAGGTTCTTGGTATCTTTTTATATTTGAGGCTTTCGTGCTAGTGCTGAAGTATTACACTCACCATCTGAGGTTTACAGGACTTTTGTTTTAATATTGAACCGAGGGAACTGTTTAGTTTTGCATCTTTGCAGGTATACAAAATGTGCCTACCAGGACTCTGCTTTATATCCATTGAAAAGCAAGAAGTAATACAGTAAAAGTTTGCCTGGCTACAGGCTTTGGAAGAATGGAGTATTCTGGTTTAATTCTATTAACTTGGAAGGATGAAGGTGGAAAAAATTCAAAACTTTAATTTCCTGTTGAATGCAATTTGAAAATATAGCCAATGAGTCCACTTTTCTTCTCTAGTAAGTTTGGACATTCAGATCTACTTGGTCTTTTATCATAGAACTCCTAGTGCGCCTGAGTCTTACGTTGTGAAAATCCTTTTCTAAAACTTTAGATGTAAGAGGATAGAAATGATATTGGATGAGATCAGGCTGGATGAGAACTGATACCTGTAGATATATTTTTTAGATGAAATCTCTGATTGCCACACGTTTTCTTATTGAACTCATAAAAATAAAACACACTGGCTGGAGGGTGGAAGTAGGAAGGAGATTTATGTCTTTTAATTGCATGTCATTGTTTCATATTGAGACAGAACATATAGTATCCCTGGCTTTGGACCTACAGAAGGAAACACATTTTTCTACCTGCTGTATGGCAGAGGTTCCTGAGCACCTGGAGGGATTATTGCAGCACGGATTGCTGGGCCCTACTGCAGAGTTTCTGATTCATTCGTGTCTAGGGTGGGGCCTGAGAATTTACATTTATAAGAAGTTCCCAGGTGCTCCTGGTCCGGAGACTACATGTTTGAGAGCCACCCTTACATACTAACTGTAAATTGTAGAACTCTAGAAAAAAGCGTAGTTTGGACTGGGAGAAGAAGCACACAGGTAATGGAGCAAATCATGAAAAAGTCAACCCTTGATCCCAGGTAACAAGCAATACACAGTGACATAACACAATTCTTGGTTTTCATGATTGCAAGTCATAGCCAAGTATCGAGTGAGAAATTCAGTTTCATTTTCAGGGCTTAGAGGCCAGGTGATTCTAGAAAAATCGGATTTAGTGATTAACTCATGAGAGTAGGAGTTATTTATGTCCTTTTTCTCTCCCCCATCACTTAGCATTTAGCCTTACTTTAGAAGGGTCCTGTATTTGCTTTAACCTTGTAAAGAACTTTGAGTGCTTATTAAATGGAAAGCCTTGTGTGTGTGTGTGTGTGTGTGTGTGTGTGTGTCTGTGCGTGTGTGTGTGTGTGTGTGTATTTAGAGACAGAGTCACATTCTGTAGCAGCCCAGGCTGAAGTGCAGTGGCATGATTTTGGCTCACTGCAACCTCTGCCTCACAGGTTCAAGGGATTCTCCTGCCTCAGCCTCCCAAGTAGCTAGGATTACAGGCACCTGCCACCATGCCCAGCTACTTTTGTATTTTTAGTAGAGACAGGATTTCATCATGTTGGCCAGGCTGGTCTTGAACTCCTGAATTCGGGTGATCCACCCGCCCCAGCCTCCCAAAGTGCTGGGATTACAGGCATGAGCCATCACGCCTGGCTCAAAGCTTTGTATTTTTAAAGATATTAGACATGTTTCTTGTTTGTTTGTTTTTTTTAAAAAAACTAAACGCTAATGTAGGAGAATAAGAGAAAGTTTTTCCAAAAAAGAGAAAACATTGTGATTATCTTATTGGAATGTTGGATAATAAAGTCTGCTTTATCAATCATCAAGCACACTATAAAATTTCCATTTTAATAGGACTTGTACCTCAATTGAGGTAATAAAGTTTTAAAGTTTTTAAAGTGAAAGCCAGCCCCGCCCCTCTCCTGGAGTGGGCGGGGACAGCGGTTGCATAGGCAGCTTTCCTTGTGACAACACAGGTCCTTGATGACACGCTGCTGTCTGGCCACACCTCCTTTTCCTTTCATCTTTCTCATTGACCAATGGGCTTCAAGCATGAAGGCCACACCCCTATTCTGCATTCTAGTGCAGCCCTGGTTACGCCTCCTCTGGCTCAGTCACACAGCGACGTAGAGGTGACTGGAGGTATATACTTGTCCTCACCTGGATCATGCTGATGTGGCCCCAACCCCACCTCCCTACCCATCCCCACCTCCCTACCCATCCCCACCTCCCTACCCATCCCCACCTCCCTACCCATCCCCACCTCCCTACCCATCCCCACCTCCCTACCCATCCCCACCTCCCTACCCATCCTATGATGTCCAAAGAAACCAGACAGAGCAAATTGGCCGAGGCCAAGGAACAGGTAAACGCACCAACACCCCAACCCAACCCGAGGCCCCCTCTGACAGCCGAACTGCTGCCAGAGTCTGTGCCACTCCTGAGGGACACCAGGCTGGGCCCCCCACCCCAGTGCCTCTGGGCTCCCCACACCAAAATCTTGTCAGCCAGCCCAACCCCCTCATAAGTCCTGCCCCTGCTCTGCCCGGCACACCAGGGTGACTTTGAGCAGGTGACTCCTGGGGCTTCCAACTCCATACTCCGCCCTTACCTCCTGCTACCCCAAACCCGACCTCCCTGGGCTCCTTGAGCTCACATCTCCAAGGACCTGGGTGCCCCAGAACCTGCCCTCACCAGTTGCCACAGGGTGACTTTGGGGATGTGACTCCTGGAGCTCCTTGCTCCTTAATTGGCCCTCACCTCCTGCCGCCCCAAGCCTGACCTCCCGGGGCTCTTTGGGGTCACGTCTCCAAGGACCTGGCTCCCAATTTTGTGACCCCCTCCCCAGTCTCAAAGCGGCAACTTGGGCATTGCACTCATGTGTCCCCCCCAACCACTCCACCGAGGAGTAGAATGTAGTGATGTCACAGTCCCGCTACAAACTGTCATTACTACCACAAGACCGGCCTTTGGTCTTAGGACCCAGTCCCCTAAGTGTTCTTGCCCACTTCTGTTTCCTCTGGTTGCAGCACAGGTTTCCAGCTGGAAGGGGAATGGGGACTGTGGGACCTAGAAGAGAGAGGTTTCAGGCTGCCTGACTTCCTTACCACAGACCTTGACAGTGTGAAAAGCCTACACCTCCCCCATGAGCTCAACACGTTGACAGTGTCTCTGGGTGGCAATGGGAGAACGGGTTTGGTTTGGTTTTCTCCCAGGCTTCTACTCTCCAGAGAGATTTTAACATTTTTTCTCAGTTCTGCACCTCAGATTTGAATTCTCCATTGTTCTGGGACCAGAGTGCCCCTCAGTCACTGGTTCTGGAGTGAGATCTGCTTATCTTCTGTGGAACAGATCTTGGGAAACTGAACTTAGCTTGAGTCTTCCTCATCTCATCTCAACCTGGGGTACTTTGAGTGCCACAGGATAAATATGGGGCATCTTTCTGAAGCATCAGTTTCCCTTGATTCTATTGAGAGGCAAAACATTAATGTACTTAGGGATGAAAGTCACGTAGATTTATAAGCGTATACAAGACTTCTCTCTGAAATGAGGCTTGGGTTGTCCTCTTTCTGTTAAATTCCCAGATTTAGCAGAAAGGCTGCCTTCTGCCATGAGGAGACATTGATGTAAAGGTTTGAGAGGTACTGGTGTACTTTTTAACACTAACAGACGTGTGAGGGTGAATAACCCTAAACCACATAGTGCACAGTTCCTGCCTACTTAATATTTGCTTTTCTACCTCTGCCTCTGGTTTTGGTCCCTGGCAGCTGCTGATTTAGGGCAAAATCCCAGAGCTCAGAGTCAGAAGACTGAGTTTAAGTTCCATTACTGCCTTTTTTTTCAGCCATGGTATCAATCTCTCTCAGTCACTAAGTGATTGTGACAACATTTCCTACAGTTGGTGGCATTAAATCAGATGGTCTATAAGAGTATTTAGTATAAACTGTAAAGCAGGATGTGACTGTAGGAGCTTGTAGTTCTCATGAGTATCACTGCTCTTCCTTTCCACAGTTGACAGACCATCATCCCCAGACCAACCCTAGTGTTGGTACAGCAGCAAGCGACACCAAAAAGAAGAAAATAAATAATGGCACTAACCCTGAGACAACCACTTCTGGTGGTTGCCACTCGCCTGAGGATGTGAGTCTTGGCTGGCCGGGCTCCTGGGGACAGAGGGCCCAAGGGGTGGTGGAGGGTAATTGTTAAGATTGTGGAAGAACTGCCAGGTACTGGCTAAGAATTCTGGGTTTGAATCCTACCCCTCCATCTGCTAGGGACATGATTTAGCGCAAATTGCTTGAGCTCTTTGGGCCTCTCTTTTCACATCCGTAAAATACGAGTGGTATTGTTTTCCTTACGTTTGTGAAGTTTAAATGAGATTTGTCATTGTGTTTTTATGTTAATCCCTCGTCCAGGACCTGCTGTAAACTCTCCTTCTTGGGCTTGCGTTTCCTGAGGTAGAGTTAGAGAGTATCAGAGGTTTCTGTTAGCTCTGAGAGCCCGAGAGTTAAAGGCCCACTAGAATGGAAACCTCGGGGCCAAGGGCTCCTGTCTGCCTTTTCTGACCTCTATTCCCGCTGTGAAGAACCGTCCCTGGCCCGTATGTGCTCAACGTTTGCTGAGTGAATGCACCTTTCTAAATCACAAGCTGGCGGAAGGGTGGGCTTTTCTCGCACTCCACCTCTGAAGGTTTCTGTTACTGTCTTTTCAAGAGAATCTAGTTTCAGACTTTGAGTTCTGTGGCTGTGGGCAAAAACCAAAAAGACCCAAATCCTTCTTCTTTGGGAGTTGAGGAGAGTTGACCAGTTCATGTTCCCATTGGGTCTGAGAACTGTGCCTTTTAAATCCATTCCTGGCCCCTGCCTATCGCTTCCTGGCCTGGGGAATAGAGTCAAGGGGGCCACCCTCAGTCACCTTCCTTTGACTCTCCCCACAGAAACAATAGAACCGAGCTCAGCTGGAAGAAGTAGTGTGATTTCTTTGCTCACGACATGACCGCTGGGTTTGGGGGCACTCAGATGTAGAGGCCCCAGCCTCATCTCACCCACTCCCAGCCTGGGGAAGAAGGCTCACCCCCAAGATTCCACCCCATCCCCACAGGGTCCCTGATAAACTGGTCCCATGGGTGGGCCTGTTCTGGGGCAGTGGTGCCATTCTGGGGGCATGTCTCTTGCTGTGGATCTCTGCCTCCCCCTAGTAAGAGCTCTGTTTTCCTCTTTCTATAGGAACAGAAGGCAAGCCACCAACATCAGGAAGCCCTAAGGAGGGAGCTAGAGGTGAGTGGAGGGTGTGAAGTTCCCTCCTGCCCTCTGGAGAATGTTTCTTTGCTTCTCTTTCAGCATTTGCTTGTCTTTTCTCCCAAAGGCCCAGGTTCATACCATACGAATCCTTACATGTCAGAAAACTGAGCTTCAGATGGCACTCTACTACAGCCAGCATGCTGTCAAGCAGTTGGAAGGTGGGAATCTGGCACCCCATCATCCTTCAACCTGGCACTTTGACAGGCCTTTAGGGGGAGTCCTTTGGGCCACATCTGAATGTCTCTCATTCCAGGAGAGGCCAGGGATCTGATCAGCCGCCTGCATGATTCATGGAAGTTTGCAGGAGAGTTAGAGCAGGCTCTCTCTGCTGTCGCTACACAGAAGAAGAAGGCGGATAGGGTGAGTCCAAACACGGCCCCGTCCCTTGGGAGCCCAGCTTCGCAGATGGAGGAGTGAGCCTAAAGGTCCCTTCTGTAGGATGGAGTGTCCTGCCCAGAAGGCAGCATGGCCATTTCTTGCTGCTTTTGTGTGTGGTTGTTAGAGGCAGACTGGGGCTGAGTCGGCTGTTGTGGGTGAGTTGGGGAGCACTGTGAGGAGCGAGCACTGGACATAGAGCTCAGAGGCCAAGTGCCCGCCCTGCCCATATTTGGCTGTGGCCTTGGCCAAGTCCTAAGTGGCGGTTAGGGTACTTGTACCATAAAGGTACAGAAGAGTATCTTGAGTATGTTATTATTTGTGTGGAGAGAGGGGGCAGGTGTATATGTGTGTGTGTGTACGTATTATGGTAACATACATAAAACACGTTTGTAAGGATTCATTAAAAAACTCAGGATAGAGGCACAGTGTTGGGGGGAGATATTTCCCTTCTGGACTTTCTGAGTTTTGGACTATGCGAACGTATCATCCTTTCAAAAATTCAACAAAGGATTAATTTCCTCCTTCTTAACTGTGCCCCTACCTCCAGCGGAAGAATGGGCTTAGAGAATCAGATATACCTGGGTGTTGAAATCCCAGCTCCAAGTGATCTTAGGCAGCACTTAACCTTTAATACCGCATGTTTTTCATCTACACAATAGAGGTAATAATGGTAACCGTCTCCTATGGAGGTTGTGAGGATTAAATGGGATTGTTAGCATAGTGCCTGGTGAAGCACTCAAGAAAGGTTCGAACAATGGTAGTACTAACAGTAATAACAATAACAATATTATCTGATCGCTCTGGGCCCCTGTTAGCCAGCTCTAAATTCAATCTCTTTCCCTGTCCCTTCCACATCCACTGAGTTCTTTGAAAAACAAATGAGGGCCAGGTGCTCTCGCTCACGCCTGTAATGCCAGCACTTTGGGAGGCTGAGGTGGGCGGATCACCTGCGGTCAGGAGTTCAAGACTAGACTGACCAACACGAAGAAACCCCGTCTCTACTAAAAATACAAAATTAGCCCGGTGTGGTGGCACATGCCTGTAATCCCAACTACTCGGGAAGCTGAGGCAGGAGAATTGCTTGAACCCAGGAGGTGTAGGTTGTGGTGAGCTGAGATTGTGCCATTGCACTCCAGTGAGGGCAACAAGAATGAAACTCTGCCAAAAAAAAAAAAAAAAAGAAAGAAAGAAAGAAAGAAAAACAAATGAGACCATGGGCTTGGAAATGCCTTGAGAACACGTCAGGTGTGATTGAGAGTGAGGAAGTGTTACTGTGGAGTAGTCACTGTAGCAGTTGTTCCTGGTCGTCCAGCTACTGCTGTGCCTGCTCTATCCTGACTTAACCTTTCTCTATTTGCAGTACATTGAGGAGTTAACAAAGGAGAGGGACGCCCTGAGTCTGGAACTGTACAGGAACACGTAGGATGGGGGAAGGTGGAATGGGAGGTCTGGGGGCCCTTAGCATGGGTGGTGTGCTGGGAGGTGGGGGGTCCAGGTGAGTGTGGGGAGAGGCTCATACATGTTTTCATGTGTGCACACGGAAGCTCTAGTGCTGGCTGTGCCACTGACTCATGGGGTAGCCTCAGGCAACTCATGTCTTCTCTCTGGCCTGCCACCTGGGACTTTTAATTCCTGGGGTCCCTTCCAGCGCCACGGTTCTGTGGTTGTGGGGCGAGGGTAGGGGGTCAATCACCAAAGTGGTCTTTTATGTTCTTCATTCATTCCTTTCTCTACTGCCTCTGGCCATAGCATAACTGATGAGGAGCTGAAGGAGAAAAATGCCAAACTACAAGAAAAACTTCAACTTGTAGAATCTGAAAAGTCTGAGATCCAGCTCAACGTAAAGGAGCTAAAAAGGAAACTGGAGAGGGCCAAGCTCCTGCTGCCACAGGTGAGCAGCTGCAGCCCCGGGGGTTGTGGGAGACCCATCCAGCTGGGACCATGGTCTAGGGATCATGCAGGGTATGGGGAGGCTCCAGCCAAGAGCTGGAAAATTTGGGTCCTTGTTCTGGTCCCGCCATAGAATCCTCTAGAGTGTACTAAAAATGTACAAATTGGGGCCCTGCCTGGGGAATCAGAATCTCAAGAGTTAGGGCTTAAAAATATTTTTTTAAAGGATCATGGATGAAAACCATTATTTTATAGATTACATTTATTTATTTATTTATTTATTTATTTATTTATTTATTTGAGAAGTAGTCTCACTCTGTCACCCAGGCCAGAGTGCAGTGGCGCAATCTCGGCTCACTGCAAGCTCCACCCCCCGGCTTCACGCCATTCTCCTGCCTCAGCCTCCCAAGTAGCTGGGACTACAGGTGCCCACCACCACACCCGGCTAATTTTTTTGTATTTTTAGTAGAGACGGGGTTTCACTGTGTTAACCAGGATGGTCTCGATCTCCTGACCTCGTGATCCGCCCACCTCGGCCTCCCAAAGTGCTGGGATTACAGGCGTGAGCCACCGCTCCCAGCCTATAGATTACATTTATGTGGCTAGCTCATGATTCTGCTTCCTTCTGAGGTTCAAAAAAACACTTTCACTATTCCAGCAGCAGCTGCAGGCGGAGGCTGACCACCTGGGTAAGGAGCTGCAGAGTGTGTCAGCAAAGCTCCAAGCCCAGGTGGAAGAGAACGAGTTGTGGAACCGCCTGAACCAGCAACAGGAGGAGAAGATGTGGAGGCAGGAGGAGAAGATACAGGAGTGGGAGGAGAAGATACAGGAGCAGGAGGAGAAGATACGGGAGCAGGAGGAGAAGATACGGGAGCAGGAGGAGAAGATGCGGAGGCAGGAGGAGATGATGTGGGAGAAGGAGGAGAAGATGCGGAGGCAGGAGGAGATGATGTGGGAGAAGGAGGAGAAGATGCGGAGGCTGGAGGAGATGATGTGGGAGAAGGAGGAGAAGATACGGGAGCTGGAAGAGAAGATGCACGAGCAGGAGAAGATACGGGAGCAGGAAGAGAAGAGGCAGGAGGAGGAGAAGATACGCGAGCAGGAGAAGAGGCAGGAGCAGGAGGCGAAGATGTGGAGGCAGGAGGAGAAGATACGGGAGCAGGAAGAGAAGATACGGGAGCAGGAGAAAAAGATGTGGAGGCAGGAGGAGAAGATTCACGAGCAGGAGAAGATACGGGAGGAGGAGAAGAGGCAGGAGCAGGAGGAGATGTGGAGGCAGGAGGAGAAGATAAGGGAGCAGGAGGAGATATGGAGGCAAAAGGAGAAGATGCACGAGCAGGAGAAGATACGGAAGCAGGAGGAGAAGGTGTGGAGGCAGGAGGAGAAGATGCACGACCAGGAGGAGAAGATACGGGAGCAGGAGGAGAAGATGTGGAGGCAGGAGGAGAAGATAAGGGAGCAGGAGGAGAAGATACGGGAGCAGGAGGAGAAGATACGAGAGCAGGAGGAGATGATGCAGGAACAGGAAGAGAAGATGGGGGAGCAGGAAGAGAAGATGCAAGAACAGGAGAAGATGCGGAGGCAGGAGGAGAAGATAAGGGAGCAGGAGGAGAAGATACGGGAGCAGAAGGAGAAGATACGAGAGCAGGAGGAGAAGATATGGGAGCAGGAGGAGAAGATACGAGAGCAGGAGGAGATGATGCAGGAACAGGAAGAGAAGATGTGGGAGCAGGAGGAGAAGATGTGTGAGCAGGAAGAGAAGATGCAAGAACAGGAGGAGAAGATGCGGAGGCAGGAGGAGAAGATGTGGGAGCAGGAAGTGAGGCTGCGGCAGCAGGAGGAGAAGATGCAGGAACACCAGGTGAGGCTGCAGGAGCTGGAGGAGAGGCTGGGGAAGCTGGGGCAGAAGGCCGAGCTCTTGGGGGGAGCAGGCGGAGGTGTGTGCAAACCCTGGAGATCATACAGAACGACCTCACCACAACTTAGCAGATGGTGGTTGGCTCCCTCTGCTTTTCCACCAGTCTGTGGCCTACAGTTTAAATGGTGGGAAGAAGGGTGTGAGATTTGAGGCTGGGGAGGGAGGCATGGGCCTCTAGGCAAGGGAGGCAGTCATTTAGGCCTGGAGGAAGGGGCCAGGGCCAGGGGCCTGGGTAGGCGACAGAGCCCCGCAGTGCCCTCACTACCCTGTTTATGGGCCCAGAATCTGGAAGCCAGCCACTACCTACCCTGACGCCTATCCTGCAGGTGGAGCTGAAGAGCCAAGAGGCTGAGTCTGCAGCAGCAGCGAGACCATTACCTGGGTCACCTGCAGCAGTACGTGGCCGCCTATCAGCAGCTGGCCTCTGAGAAGGAGGCACTGCCCAGCTGCAGCAGCAGGAAGCTCAGGGCGAAGCGGTGGCCGAGATGGCCCACCAATAGTTGCAGGAGACCCGGTTGAGGGAGTTGATGAGGGCGGGGCCCCAAGGGGGATGATCTGGCAACCTCCGTGCCTTCTCACTCTCTTTCCTGGCCCCTTAGGAGCACCTGGAAGCTGCCATCTAATGAGCACATGACAAGAAGGCAAAGACAATAAACATGTAAAAGCCGGCAGCAAGGCCTGGAGAAGAGTAAGCCGCCATGTGACTGTTTAGAATATAGTCTGAGCACAAACCTGAAAAAAAAATTTTATTTATTTTAAATTGTGGCAAAATACTGGCCAGGCATGGTAGCTCACGCCTGTAATCCTAGCAATTTGGGAGGCCGAGGTAAATGGATGACCTGAGGTCAAGAGTTCAAGACCAGCCTGGCCAATACAAAAATTAGCCGGGCATGGTGGCGCATGCCTGTAATCCCAGCTACTTGGGAGGCTGAGGCAGGAGAATCGCTTGAACCTGGGAGGCAGAGGTTGCAGTGAGCTGAGATCGTGCCACTGCACTCAAGCCTGGGTGACAGAGCGAAACTCCGTCTCAAAAAAAAAAGTTTCTTCCTTACATGTATGTTTCTATTAGTTTTCTTCTTGGTCTTTCTCATTTAGTCTTGTGTTGTCTTTTGACATTCATAGTAAACTTTTATCTGCCTCCAGAGAGTATTGACTTTGAGTTTATGGCACACAATTGGAGTAAGGGCAGATCGCCTTCATCTACTTTGGGACTAAGCTGGTTCAAAGCAGGTTTTAGGTTTTCTGATGGCTGGTCTATGTTTTATTCATTTGGACTCCCAGGGGTGGCCCTTCCAGGGTCCCCACCAAGGTCCCATCTCCTTCCTGGGACCCAAATTCTCATTAGGTCATTTCAGCCCTGTGAGAGTGCCAAACATTCAGCTAGGCTCTCCAGCCTCTTAACTACCACTTCATACTCAGTTTCTTAGCCTCTTAGCCCTCTACTGTTGACCAATCACCAAATGTGGGAAAGCACTACAGACTGTCAGGATCACCTCCTAGGCCTGGTCACTCAAGTCCTGACTGAGGTCTCCAATTACCTTCCAACAATTGTTTTTGATTGGGGGCGGGGCACATTTTTATCCAGTTTTTCTAACTGCTCTTGTGGGGAGGCGAATCTGTAACAAGCTCCTCTGCCTTTACTGAAAGTTGAAAACCTTCATCTGTCCTTTTTTTGTTGTTGTTGAGATGGAGTCTTGCGCTGTTGCCCAGGCTCTAGTGCAATGGCACGATCTCTGCTCACTGTAACCTCTGCCTCCTGGGTTCAAGCAATTCTCCTGCCTCAGCTTCCCGCGTAGCGTGTGCCACCATGCCTGGCTAATTTTTTTTTATACCTTTAATAGAGGCAGGATGTCACCATGTTTTCCAGGCTGGTCTCGAGCTCCTGACTCAGGTGATCTACCTGCCTCAGCCTCCCAAAGTGCTGGGATTACAAGTATGAGCCACTGCATCCGGCCCATCTGTCTTTTAAAACATGTTTTTAATTGGAGGTATAATTTCTATTAGTGAAATGCACAGGTCTGGTTTACATTTTGATGAGTTTTAACTCATTTAACATTACTATGGAACCCACCTCCTTTGAAGATACAGAGTATTTCTATCATCCAGAAAGTTCTCCTGTGCTTTCATGCTGTCCCGCACTCCCCCAGCAGCTGATGAACATGCTGAGGACATTGGTACTGGATTCTGGCCGCCCCAAAAGAGCCGCTTTGACCAGGCTTACCCAGCACTAAATCCCTGCCTGCTCTCTCAAAATTTCCATCTTTAAACTGGTTGTACCTATAACCCTCCCTCATCAAGTCAATAGATAAACAAACCCTGAAAAATAAACAACTCTTCCTGGCCCAGCAGCCCACAGCCTAATATTTACTGTATTCCCAGGCTTTCAGAAATGTAACTCGCCTGCCGGTTCACCCTCACTAGGGCGGCAGCTGCACGGGAGCAGCTGGGCTCACCCATTAAGCAAGAAGCCAATAGCTGGACAGTGACACTCAGACCCCAGCCTGGGCGAGCCTGGCTGAAAGCCCCCTTCTTTCCATCCGACTGTGGAGAAAGGGGGCGGAGCACACACAACTCTACTGCCCTCCACATCCTTCACCTGTGCTTCCTCCTGGGAGAGGGAGCCGCTCCTTAATTTGGCCAAAGCCTTCTTGAGGGCTGTAGGTTTCACAGGCTGGGTGTGTGGGGGCCACCGTGCTAGAGACAGAGGCTGGTGTGTCAGAAGGCAGCCACCTGGCCAGAGGGGGGTCAACCCCCTTGGTGACCTCCTTCCCCCGGCTGGACACAGTGCCCTGCACTCTCTACATGTGACTGTTCCCCTCAGAGCTGCTTCCAGGGGAGGGGTTCTAATCCTGTGGGTGGGGACATTGTGTTACTTTACAGTGGGCCATGGCTCCCTCTGACATCTCCAACTCAGAGGCAGTAGAGAGAAGATGAGAAATTCCCTGCCCCTCCTCCCTCAGCACCCCCACCTCTGCACACGTCCACATGTGGAGACCCTGACAATGGGCCCTGGGAGTGCCGCCATCTGTGCCTGCTTTCCATGCCTGCAGCAGCCATGCCCACTCTCCAGACCCTCACCCGCCTGGGTCAGTAGACGCTTCACTGCCTGTGGTCCTGCGCCTACACCTGGGCCTCTGTACCCGTCAGTTCCCCCAGTCTGGTTCTTATTCCCTGCAAAGAGTAGGGAGCCTGTAAGGTCACCTGTTGAGCAAGCTGGGGGAGAAAAGTAGGGTGGGGATGGGAGGATCAGGATGAGAAGCTCATGGTCGTGCTGGAGACTCAGCTGAGCAGAGTCTCTGCAGGCCCATTGGCTGCCTAGCCAGTGGTGATCTCGCTCCCACCCTCATTTCTTCTTTGTTAACAAAACCATGACCTCATTAAATACTGGACACCTATAAACCTCATGGACCCTCCTCCAGCCTCCCCACCGTGTACCGGTGAGTCTAAGTCAACTCTAGTCATTTCATTCCTCTGGACATTGACTGCTTAGGGCTTGGGCATGAGCTGCCTCTTCACCTGAGCCTGAGCCACAGGTACCCTCTGCACCTACCACGCTGATGCACTGGGCCAGGGAGAGCGCCGTCTGGATGGAGATGAGCTGTGAGGAGCTGGTGGCTGGGCGGATCAGGTTGTTGTAACAGGTTTTGTTCAGAAGGTCGTCCATCAGTTTCTGCTCGGCATGGGCCATGCGGCAGTCCCCTGGGTAAACACACAGACATGCTGGGCCCTTGTGCAGCTGTCTCCCACTGCAGCTGACAGCTATGAAGCAGGAGCTGAGAGGGCCAGGGAGCACAGACACCCTGAGAGCTGGCTGAAGCAGTGAAGGGGCTGGCCGGCCTGGCTCTCCCTGGGGACTTCAAATGACATTCACGACAGAGCTCAGCTACCTCCTCCCCATGCCATACCTCTTCCTCCTCCTCCTCCCTCCGTCAATGAACAGCATCCCACGCTCTACACATCTGATACAAAACTGGGTGTCTCTTCCTGACTCCTCCCTTGGTTCACCCAAGTGGCCACCAAGTCCTGTCTGTCCTCCCATCTCCACGGCTACAGCCATGTCCCTGCCTCCCCTGCCCTGCCCACCTTCTATTCTCTCCACCTGCACTCTGCCCCTGCCATCCATGTGCCATACAGTGGCAGACTGATCTTTCTACAGCAAACTGGACGAGGGCCCTTCCCTACCCACAGCTCTCAGAGCTGGAGGTGGAGTTGAAGCTCATGTTTTGGCTTGGCATTCAGAGCTCTTTCCCCCTCAGCACTGGCTTATCCAGAGTGCTCACAGTGCAGGGCAGGAGCCTCGTGACTCAAATGTGGGTTTGGTGCAGAACTGGGTCTGAGGTGGTGCTTTCCCTGTGAAGAGACAGGGCCGACATGGGGGAATTTTCTGGGTTCAAAGTTAGACCTAGAGAGTGCAAAGTTTCTCTGAGGCACCAAATGGAGGGGTCCAGCTAGCAGCTGGCTCCTGGTCTGGAGCTTCAAGGAGAGGTCTCAGCTCAGAGCCACATTCAATAGCCAGCTTACATGTGGCCTCCTGCAGGGAGCCCCTGGAGCTTCCACAGCCTCCGTTCTGCCCCTCTGCATACCCCAGATCTCCTGCTAAGTGGCGTTTGGGTCTTCATGTCATCTCCCTCCCATGTCTGGGAGTAAAGGTGAGGTGCAGGGACTTGCGCTTGTGTACTCTGGTGTCTTAAGGGAGAGTGTGTCAAGTAGAGTGGAGGCGGCTTGGAAAGAGGGAGACTCAGAGGAGAGTGAAGGACACATGACCAGGCGAGCCTGGGAGCAGGAAAAGAGAGTGAGCAGAGGCAACTGCTGGGTCAGGGGAGCGGATGGGAGGATCAGGGAATGCGGGGGGGCTGGAGAGGTAGGGGTGGGGACGTTGGCGAGGGGCTGCCTGGCTCGCCAGGCTCAGGAGTCAGTTACATCCTCCCACAAGGGCCAGCTCACCTGGTCGCCCCAAAGACCTCCCTCTGTGGGTGGGATCAGAGGGCCAAGAGCACGGATAACCCAATTGAGCAGGACTGAGGCGGACTCAGGTGGGTGCTGGGCCGGACTCCTGGCTGTGGGGAGCAGCCGCCACCCTGCCTATTGCATCCACTTTCCAACTCGCTGCCTATCTGAGCAGATGCGATATTGGGCACCTTGTGAAACATGCTCCTGGTGCACCTGCTGCCTGCTGCCCCTCCTGCAGAGTGCCCGGGCTCTCCAGAGGGGATTCCTATGGAGGCTTGGCCTAGATTCTGAGTCCTGCCTCTCATACCTGGGGCTGCTACCCCAGAGGCCAGCTGCTTGAGTACCCCGGAAGCCAGCCTGTAGCCCCAGGCTACAGCTGGGTCCATCCCACAGCCCTTCTCTAATGTACCTATTTGGACTGGCTGCTCATTTCATAGAGAGGGGTGTGTCTTGCCCCAGACCATCTGGCATGTCTAAGGCAGCTGTGGGGTCAGAATCTGCAGCTCCCAGCCCTCAGCCCAGCAATAGTAGGAAAGGCTGGACCCCACATCTCTGAAGTCCCGCTGGGTTGGTGCGAGCGGGCTCCCGAGTACAGGGCTGCTCTGCAGGCTGTGGGGCTCATGCGCCAGCTCTGAGCCCACCTGATGTGCTCACGTTGCTCACCTTTGGGCCTGTCCGGCCTCTCAGGCATTCGGCTGACCCTGAGGGCCTCTCCCTCATCTTGACCACCAGCTACGGGCTCTGATTTCTCAGGGATCTAGAACTACAAATACCATTTGACCCAGCCATCCCATTACTGGGTATATACCCAAAGGATTATAAATCGTGCTGCTATAAAGACACATGCACACGTATGTTTATTGCGGCACTATTCACAATAGCAAAGACTTGGACCCAATCCAAATGTCCAACAATGATAGACTGGATTAAGAAAATGTGGCACACATACACCATGGAATACTATGCAGCCATAAAAAAGGATGAGTTCATGTCCTTTGTAGGGACATGGATGAAGCTGGAAACCACCATTCTCAGCAAACTATCGCAGGGAAAAAAAAAACAAACACCGCATGTTCTCTCTCATAGGTGGGAATTCAACAATGAGAACACATGGACACAGGAAGGGGAACATCACACACCGGGGACTGTTGTGGTGTTGGGGGAGGGGGGAGGGATAGCATTAGGAGATATACCCAATGCTAAATGACCCGTTAATGGGTGCAGCACACCAACATGGCACATGTATACATATGTAACAAACCTGCACGTTGTGCACATGTACCCTAAAACCTAAAGCATAATAATAAAAAATAAAAATATAATAAAAACAAAAGTCCTGTGAACCTCAGATGGTGAGTATAATACTTCAGCACTAGCACAAAAGCCTCAAATATAAAAAGATACCAAGAACACCACTAGCAAACAAAAGTAAGCTCTCAGTCACGAGCAGTAGTTCACACCTGTACTCCCAGCATATTGGCAAGCCAAGGTGGAGTAAGTTAGGAGTTCAAGACCAGCCTGGGCAGCATAGCGAATTCACAGCTCTACAAAAAAAAATTAAACATTAGCTGGGCATGGCGTCACACACCTGTAGTCCTAGCTACTTGGGAGACTGAGGTGGGAAAATCACTTGAGCCCAGAAGTTTGAGGCTGCAGTAGCTATGATCATGCCACTCCACTCCAGTTGGGGTGACAGAGCAAGATCTAGATATTACATTCTGTCCTGCTCCTCTTTCCAGTAAAATCATTAAGTTAAAATGTTTTCATTCAGCAACATAAAAATTAAGTGAAATGTGACTTTGGTGCTTGGCTAGCAAAATATAAATAAATAAAGCGAAATGACAAATTACTTATGAGGAGAAAGTCTTTGTAACCTCAATGACATTAAAGGTTTGTATCCTTAGCCTATAAAGAAAAATTTAAAATTACTCAGAAAAAAAAAATGAATGATTTCCAGCAGAAAATGGGCAGTAGAGAAACCGGCACTTCCCACAAGAATAAAAATAGCCAATGAGCATATGAAAAAGATTCAAAAGCACTAGAAATCAAAGAAATATAATGAAAACAATGAGATTTTCTGCTTAAAGACCAGCGAAGATGACAAATGGAAGGGGGAACCTGGAGCTCTGTCCCTGTTGGTGGGAGTATAAACTCAACCAATTTTCCTATAGGATGATTTGAACATTTCTTTTAAAAATCCTAAAACTGTTTTATATTACTTTCCTCTAGAAATTCTACTTGTATGAATTCAGTGCAAAAATCCTGACTCGAGTTCATTAAAATATATATAGAAGGAAATCCACCTCTGGGGTGGCAATGATTCACTTAACATACATCCAGCTATTGAAAGTGATGATGCCAGGATATATTTCTGCCATAGAAACATGCTTAAAATATAGTAAGTGACAAAAGACCATATATTATGATTCTACTTTTTAAAATGTTTATATGCATAAAAAGTGTAAAAAGCAACAAACCAAAATGTTTTCAGTGGCAAAATTAAAGATTTTTCTTTATATTTTGTCATCTAAATTATTACAAAAAGAGTGATTTCCTTTATAATCGGGGAGAAGTGTTATTTTCATTTATTTATATTTACATTTCTTTTCTTTTTCTTCTTTTTTCTACTCCATGTATTCCATGTAGGCTAGAGAGCTTAAATCCCTGCCTCTTGAGAGAAATCAGCCCATTTTCGGGACATGCAGTACACAAAGCTGCCCCATCTTCCCTTTATTTTTATTTTTATCTTATTTATTTATTTATTTATTTATTTATTTATTTATTTATTTATTTTGAGATGGAGTCTCACTCTGTTACCCAGGCTGGAGTGCAGTGGTGCATCTCAGCTCACTGCAACCTCCATCTCCCGAGATCAAGCGATTCCCCTGCCTCAGCCTCCCAAGTAGCTGGGACTATAGGCATGCACCACCATGCCCAGCTAATTTTTGTATTTTTAGTAGAGAGGAGGTTTTACCATCTTGGACAGCCTGGTCTTGAACTCCCGACCTCAAGTGATCCATCCGCCTTGGCCTCCCAAAGTGCTGGGATTACAGGCATGAGCCACCGTGCCAGGCCTATCATATTATTTCTAAAAATTTCAGTGACATTTCAATTAAGTGAAATTTAATTCTTACTGTCCTGATCTCTTATCCTCTGCTTAATGATATCTTCCAGTTGAAAGGTGTTTCCTCTGTAATCACAGGTGCTAAAGGAAATACAACATGTATTCATTAGGTGGATATCCACTAAACCACGGATTCACGCATTGTAGTCCTTAGACCCTCAGCATCAGAAACACGTGGGAACTTGTTAGACATGCAAATTCCTGGGCCAGCCCCACACCTCCTGAATCAGAAAGTGGGGAAGAAGGACAACTATCTGTGCTTTAATAAGCCTTGAAATGCTCCCTGAAGTTTGAAAACTACAGAACTAGAATACATATGGTAGTAAGTGCTCATACTTTATCCAAGGTACCTACGGACTCTTCCCCTCTTTTCCATTCTGTTTTCCATTGAAATAAAATGAGAGCTCCTTTTGACTTAATGGGTATAAGAAAGAAGGCAATGAGATGACCAGGGTTTCAAGTTAGAGTTCAAAATTTAATCAGTGGACAGTGACAGGATGCAAGCCTTCTAAACAGATTCTGCAAGGAAGCTGATTATAATCTATACAGTAGGTATCATTAGTGTATTGATGTTAAATTTTTGGGGTGGATTAACGGTATTGTGATTATATAGGAGAATGTCCTGGTTCCTAGAAGATATCTGTGAAAGTACTTAACAGTGAAATGCCACGATACTGGTAACTTACTTTGAAATGATTCAGGGGGAAAAAGGGCACATATACAATCTTCCATATGCGGAGGAGAGAAAACAAGTATGACAAAACCTTAATTGGTGAATCCAGTTGAATAGCATACCGATGTTCACTGTATTATTTTATCAACTTTTCTGTGTTTGCAAGTTTTAAAATAAAAAGTTGAGGGAAAAGAAACATCACCCCAAATCTTTCTATGAAATGGAACCATAGAAAAAGCATAGAAATGAACACTCTGCAGAAGAGGGCACCGTACCCATCCGGACAGCATGGTCAAAGCGTAGGCTCTCCTCCAGGAGGCTCTTCTCTGGTCTCTTCTGTGCTGTCACTTCCCCTACATGCAGCCAAGGCTTTTTTCTAACAACTCTTTTTCTAAAGGTGTAATTTTTTTCATTCATCTAAGAAAGAGACAAAACAATTAGTATACATTTAGAAAATAAAATTACACTTATACTTGTGTAAAAGCAAAAAATACTTTGAAAAGTGGGGAAGGAAGAAACGTACTGTTCTATAATTCTGTTCTGTTCTTACCATCTTTTTATTCTGCCAATGACTTCCTATTCCTGCTGCGTATGGTAGGGTGAGCTGCAAATGATTTCTTTTCCTCATTGATTTAAAATGTCATGTTTATAATATACTAAACTCCCCCAGAAGCATTTGGGTTTATTTCTGGGCTCTATTCTATTCAAGTGATCTATCTGTTCAAGTGATCTATCTGTTCACAAGCCACTATCAATTTTGATTATTAGAGCATCGTAAAGTTAAGTTAAATAATAATAATTATTATTATTATTTTGAGATGGAGTCTCTCGCTCTGTTGCCCAGTCTGGAGTGCAGTGGCGTGGTCTCGGCTCACTGCAAGCTCCACCTCCTGGGTTCATGCCATTCTCCTGCCTCGGCCTCCCAAGTAGCTGGGACTACAGGAGCCCGCCACCATGCCCGGCTAATTTTTTGTATTTTTAGTAGAGACAGTGGTTTCACCATGTTAGCCAGGATGGTCTCAATCTCCTGACCTTGTCATCCATCCACCTTGGCCTCCCAAAGTGCTGGGATTACAGGCATGAGCCACTACACTCAGCCAAGTAATTATTTGATTAGGATATTAGTATTTGATGGAGACTGACCCTTTTGACTCTAAACTCAAATTCTTATTATCTCTAACTTCTAAAAGACAGCAATTATGACTTCAGTGTATAAAATGCCAGCTTTTTCAGCTACCTTACAGAATTCTCTTATTTTCCTATATCAATTCAGTTTATCCATTTGGTCTTCTCTCCAAACACTCATGTTTTTATTTTAGTATCCTTAATCTTTTTTTTTTTTTTTGAGACAGAGTCTTGCTCTGTTGCCCAGGCTGGAGTACAGTTGGATGACCTCAGCTCATTGCAACCCCTCTGCCTCCCAGGCTCAAGCAGTCCTCTCACCTCAGACTCCCAAGTAGATGGGATCACAGGTGCATGTAACCACGCCCAGCTAATTTTGTATTTTTTGCAGAGATGAGGTCTCACCATGTTGCCCAGGCTGGTCTCAAACTCCTGAGCTCAAGTGCTGGGAGCTCCTGAACTCCCAAAGTGCTGGGATTACAGGTGTGAACCACTGCTCCCAGCAGTTTTCCTAATCTCTTATCTTTATCACACTATGACCACGTGAGATTACTCCAGGTATGCAAATGCTGTAGAATTTGAAAAACAATTAATGCAATGTATTATAGCAACAGCTACAAAAATCATAATGTCATATTAATTGATAGAGAAAAAGCATTTGACAAAATCCAATACCCATTCATGATGAAAGAAAAAAAAACTCTAAGAAAATTGGAGATAAAGAATAGGAATCAGAGTGACCTTCCTCCACTGATAAAGAACATCTACAAAAAATCTAGAGTTAACATTATCCTTAACATGGAAGCCTAAAAATGCTTTCCCTACAAGGCCAGAAACAAAGCAAGAACATCTGCTCTCACTGCTCTTATTCAACATAGTACTGGAAATTCTAGATACTAAAATAAGGCAATAAAAATAAAGGGCACACAAACAAGAGAGAAAAAAATACAACTGTCCACATTTACAGATGACATGATTGGCTATATAGAAAATCTCCTGGAACCTGCAAAAAAAACAAAAACAAAAACAAAAAACAACAACAACAAAAAACACCTAGAATTGATAAGTGAGTTTAGTAAGGTTGTAGAAGATAAAATCAAGAAACACAAAAATCACATCAGTTAAATGTGGAAACTGAAATTAATGATGCAATACCATTTACAATTGCTCCCCTCCAAAAAGAAATACTAGGTATATACTTAACAAAACATTATGAAATTATAGAATGCTAATGAAAGAAGGTTTTTAAAAAAGCTAAATAAATGGAGGGAGACACCACGTTTAAGGATCAGTAGACCATACAGTAAATATATCAACTATCCCTGTACTGATGCATTAGTTTAATGCAAGCCCAGCAAGGTTTTGGAAAATATGAACAAGCTCATTCCAAAACTTATCTGGAAAAGCATATAGGTCCCAGAACAGCTAAAACAATCTTAACAAAGAAGAATAAAAGGAGAGGACTCACTCTGTCCAATATTAAGCCTTATTATGATCAAGTAGTCTTAATTACAGTAATCAACACAATGTTGTATTGATAAAGGGACAGACACACAGATCAATGGAAAAGTTTAGAGAACCCATAAGTAGCCCCACACATGTATGTCCAAATGATTTTTGACAAGACACAAAAGTAATTCAACGCAGGAAAGATAGCCTTTTCAACAAGTAACACCAGAGCAATTAAATATCCACAGGCAAAAACCAAAACCAAAAGAAAACCTCTAACTAAACCTTATATTTTATATGGAAATTAACTCAAAATGGATCACAAACTTAAATATAAACATATAACCATGGAATACTATGCAGCCATAAAAAATGATGAGTTCATGTCCTCTGTAGGGACATTGATGAAGCTGGAAACCATCATTCTCAGCAAACTATCGCAAGGACAAAAAACCAAACACCACATATTCTCACTCATAGGTAGGAATTCAACAATGAGAACACATGGACACAGGAAGGGGAACATCACACACCGGGGCCTGTTGTGGGGTGGGGGGAGGGGGGAGGGATAGCATTAAGAGATATACCTAATGTTAAATGACAAGTTAATGGGTGCAGCACACCAACATGGCACATGTATACATATGTAACAAACCTGCACGTTGTGCACATGTACCCTAAAACTTAAAGTATAATTTTTAAAAAAGTGTATAACCATAAAAAATATTTTTTAAAACAAGAGAGAAAATCTTTGGACTCTAGACAGGGTTCTTATACTTGACATCAAAAATACAAACCATCAAAGGAAAAACTGATAAAGTGAACCCATTAAAATTCAAAACTTTGGTTCTGTAAAATATCCTGTTAAGAAAAGATGACAAGCTACACACAGAGAGAAAAAATTTGCAAACCATATATCTGACAGTGGGCTCATGTCTAAAATATATAAAGAACTCTCAAAATTCCACTTTTGGCCAGTAGAAGCTCCTTCACATTGGCTCCTGCATTCTTTTTAACATGACCTTAGAAGTCTCTGATAACTTCCTTGCTTTCAGGAAAGACATGTCCCAGCCTCAATTTGTTCATTTCTGGCCTAAATGTAAAGCTGTGCCAGAGACTTGGAACCTATTTATACAACAGACCATGATTTGAGTAGAAAATGGTACTTAGAAATTAAAACTTGAATACTAGCTTCTTAGTGTTATAAACTGAATTCTGTTCCCCTCAAAATTCACATGTTGAAGCCCTAATCCTCAATGTGACTATATTTGAAGATAGGTATGTATTTGGAGATAGGGCTGTATTTGGAGATTTAAGGGGGTAATTAAGGCTAAATGAGGTCATATGGGGGATGTCTAATCCAGAAGACAGCCCTCTATGTAAGCCAAGAAGAAAGACCTCACCAGAAACCAAACCTGCCGGGACCTTGATCTTGGATCTGTAGCCGATGAACTGTGAGAAAATAAATTTATGTTGTTTAAGTTGCCTGATCTGTGGTACTCTCTTATGACAGCCCAAGCAAACTAATACACATAGATAAAACTATGAAATATATAATTTCCTTAAAAAGATGGAAAAATAAATGAGTTTATCCTAACACTTTTGAGTCAAATTAAAGAAGAGAGAATTTTACTTAATTATATTTTTCTAATTGTACATTTAATTTTACACTAATAATATTGGTTATTATTGGAGTTAGCATAATTATTAGTTTCTTCACCATATATATAGAGACCATATACATATAGATATATAGATATATATATAAACACACCAGAGAGACATATATATACCATAGAGGCCACATATATATATACACACACACACATACACCATATATAGAGAGAGCATATATATACACACACACACCATAGAGCATATATATATATATACATGAAATATATAATTTCCTTAAAAAGATAGAAAAATAAATGAGTTTATCCTAACACTTTTGAGTCAAATTAAAGATGAGAGAATTTTACTTAATTATATTTTTATAATTGTACATTTAATTTTACACTAATACTGGTTATTATTGGAATTAGCATGATTATTAGTTTTCTCACCATATATAGAGAGAGACCATATATATATATATAGATATATATACAAACACACCATAGAGACATATATATACCATACAGGCCACATATATATATATACACACACACATACACCATATATAGAGAGAGCATATATATACACACACACCATAGAGAGCATATATACACACACACACAGAAACACACACCATATATATATATATATATATATAAAATAGTTTCAAATGGCAATACATATATTAACACTGACAACCAGAACACTGAATGCAGTTTAAGGTTTCTTAATGGGATTAAAATATATTATATTATGATTAAGATATATTATGATAGAAATATTCTGCCATAATACTGTAATTTAAAAGCATTCGCTTTAAACATCTCTTCTCTGGGGAATCATACCACAAACTTGACACACAGATTGCTTTCAATTTTTAAAGACCACTTTATTTTTATCATTTTTATTTTTAACATTATATAAAACATTTGCCTGGTTCTTAAGTCTAGACCATAAAGCAGGTACATTCAGAGAAGCATAGCTCATTCCTGGCCCTGCACCTTCCTTATTCTGTTTCTAATCCTGTAAACTATCACTCTTTTTAATTTATTTAACTTTCCATTCTGTCTTTTGTAAAATATTAGTAAAGGCACATATCTTCTCTGTTTTCACCCCCTTTCTTAGACAAAAGGTATTAATAGTATGCTATGAATAACTGTTCTACATCTGACTCTTATCAGGAGAATAATGTCTTGTAGATGACTCCATGGCTGTGTACAGACATCTTCCTTGTGCCTTTCCACAACTGTGTAGCCCTCCATTCTGGGGACTGTGATGGTTGGCAGAATGCTAAAGATCCCCCTGCCCCCAAAGCCCCACCATCCTGGCCATTCAAACACCAATCTAGATACTTCCGCTGGTCCCCAACTTACATTAATTCAACTTGCAATTTTATGATATTTTAGTTTGCGATGGTACAAAAACAATATTCAGTAGAAACCATATATGGAATACTCGTACAACCATTCTGGTTTTCACTTTCAGGGTGGTATTCAATAAATTACATGAGATATTCCACACTTTATTATAAAAACAGGCTTTGTGGGCAGGGTGCAGTGGCTCACACCTGTAATCCCAGCACTTTGGGAGGCCAAGGCAGGTGGATCACTTGAGGTCAGGAGTTTGAGATCAGCCTGGCCAACATGGTGAAACCCCATCTCTACTAAAAATACAAACAGTAGTCAGGCATGGCAGCACACACCTGTAATCCCAGCTACTCGGGAAGCTGAGGCAGGAGAATCACTTGAATCTGGGAGACAGAGGCTGCAGTGAGCCAAGATCACGCCACTGCACTCCAGCCTGCACGACAAAGCGAGACTCCATCTCAAAAAAAAAAAAGTTGGCTTTGCATTAGATGATTTTGCCCAACTATAGGCTAATGTAAGTGTTCTGAGCACATGTAAGGTAGGTTGGGCTAAGCTATGATGTTCAGTAGGTTAGAGGTATTAAATGCATTTTTGACATGATATTTTCAACTTACGATGGGTTTACTGAAATGCAACTTCACTGTAAATCAAGGAGCATCTGTATTGGGAAGTGAGTTTGAAGACATAATTAAAGTCCCAATTCCATTAATCTTAAGATAGATTATCCACTTTGGGAGGCCGAGGCGGGCGGATCACGAGGTCAGGAGATTGAGACCATCCTGGCTAAAACGGTGAAACCCCGTCTCTACTAAAAATACAAAAAATTAGCCGGGCGTAGTGGCGGGCGCCTGTAGTCCCAGCTACTTGGGAGGCTGAGGCAGGAGAATGGCGTGAACCCGGGAGGCGGAGCTTGCAGTGAGCCAAGATCCCGCCACTGCACTCCAGCCTGGGCGACAGAGCGAGACTCCGTCTCAAAAAAAAAAAAAAAAAAAAAAAAAAGATAGATTATCTGAGTGAGCCTAAGCTAATCAAGTGAGACATTTAAAACTCATTTTCTCTGACTGATGGCAGAGGAAGGAAGTCAAAGATGTTTGAAGCATGAGGGGAATGAGTCCCTGCTTCTCAGGACATGAGAAGCAATCTTGCTGGCCACCAAGAGAAAGTAAACAGGTATGCAGTAAACTGTCAACGAAGAAAAAGGACAGATTCCTGAAGCTGAGAGTGAACCCCAGCCAAATATCAGCAAGAAAGTGAGGATGTCAAAGACTGCAAGAAAATGAATTCTGTCAAGAATCAGCGAGCTTGGAAGAGAACCTCAAGCCTCAAATGAGAATCTCAGCACCAGCCAACACCTTGACATCAAGTATGTGAGTTGTGAGCAGAGGATTCAGTTATAACAAGCCCAGACTCCTGACCCATGGAAACTGTCAGATTAATAAACAAGCACTGCCTTAAATCACGGAGTCCGTGGTAATTTTCAGCTTCCAAAACACAAAGACAAGGTAACAACATTCATCTGCTTTAGCCATCTTTCCCTTTGCTTCTGCCCTTGTGGTTTCACGTCTTTTAATTCTTTTATTCTCATTTGAGTACAGTATCAGAAAAGAGCATGTTCAACCAGAAGATGACCGCTATGATTTCCTCGACTGGAAATCCTCCTCCATCTGTTCTTTACTCCTCCTAAAATTCTTAGCACTTGGCATGTGAGGTCTCCTGGATCTCCACTCGTACTTTCTTATTGTTTCCTCTCAAGTTTCCATGTCTTTGTCATCAGCTCTGAATGGTTCAATGTGCCCTTTCATACTGCCTTTCAAAGCACCAATGCTATCCCCAGCAGAGGCCATTCTCTTCAGTTTTAGACTTTCAGAAACAAACAAACAAACAAACAAACAAACAAACAAAAAAGCCACTGCCTTCTCCATAGAGTTTTCGATATTTGTTAAAATTCTTTTCTGTCTCTTCCATTTGTTTTGCCTCCATAAGAAATGCCTGATCTGGCCGCGTGTGGCAGCTCATGCCTGTAATCCCAGCACTTTGGGAGGTCAAGGCAGGCGGATCATCAAGGTCAGGAGTTTGAGACCAGCCTGGCCAACATGGTGAAACCCTGTCTCTACTAAAAATACAAAAATTAGCTGGGCGTGGTGGTGAGCAGCTGTAGTCTCAGCTATTCAGGAGGCTGAAGCAGAAGAATCACTCAAACCCAGGAGGCAGAGGTTGCAGTGAGCCGAGATCAGGCCACTGTACTCCAGCCTGGGTCACACAGTGAGACTTGGTCTCAAAAAAAAAAAAAAAAAAAATGCCTGGTGTGCCTGTTCTTTCTCTTTCAAGTACTATGTTTCCCTAACTGGGCTGGGACAAATCTCTGCCTACTGACTTCTTAAGCTACTCAGCACCCAATCAGGACAGGTGTGGCAAAGAAGCAGGTAGTAAGAGGGAGCTGTTCTTTTCAAGGGCAGGAAGGTGATGTGGTCTTTCTCGAACCTTACAGACGGGGACAGATTGGCCCACCATTTCAGTTCTGCTCAAGATCTCCTGGGAATAAGACTGCAAGCCCAAACCACCACATGTAGAAAGCATCTGCATTTTAGACCCTACAGAAGCACCAAGTTCTACTATTCATGCTGAGCTTAGGAACCCAAGGACAGGGGCACCATCTCTGCCACACAGTGCAGGAGAAATGGAGCCTACCTTACCTCCCCAGCAAGGCTAAGGTCATCTGCCAGACCCTCTCTCTACAATCACCCTGCTTGTTGTGTTGCTCCAGAGAGTGAGAAGAGTGGAGGTCAGTGTCAGGGGCATGCCTTCAAACCACCACGTTCCCACCACTGCTCCAGCTTCTAAACATTCATTCAGAGACAAGTCACAGCAATTTCCAGGGAGGAGGGATCACATATGTCATACCCAAGCTCTGAAGGTGTAAGTGGTTTAGTTGCTTCCAGTTAAAGAGTTTCTGAAGTTGAGGTTACGGGTATTTTAGATAACGTCATCAGGGTGGCTCTCAGAAGAAGTAACCCTTGGACAGAGACTTGAATGATCTGAGGAAGCCAGCCATGCAAGCATCTGAAAGAAGAGATCATAGGCACAGGAAACAGCAACCAAGAAAAGCCCTGAGGTGAGCACAACAGGCTTAGTGCATTCAAAAAGCAACAGGCAAGCCATGGGGCTGGAATGGAGTGTGCCCAAAGAAGACAAGGGCTAACACAAGGGCAAGAATTAGACAAGGCAGGACAGGCAGGACATGGTGAGGGGCAGGGGTATTATTTCAGAGTGACTGCATGTTACTGGAGGAGTCCGAGAAGGGAAGAAACAAAAGCTGATTCACGGTATGTAGGTACTCTAAGCTGCTATATAGAAACCAGACTGTGAGTACAAGAAATGATGTAGGAGCATCCATTGAAAAAGTTTTTTACTTGTTCTTTCTCTTTTATTGTTTTATTTTCTCCTTTTTTTTCTCTTTTCTTGCCCTAACTCTATATGGTAGAACTGTTGAGAAACAATATTAGTTGTTCTAGTGAAAAATGACAGTAAATGCAAAGACAGATCAGAGGTAGCGAAGCCAGTGGTGAGGCCATTAAAAATAAATAGACAAGAGTGACTTCCACTTCTGGCCATAATAGACTAACAGAAACAGGATTCGCCCTCCCATCTAAAACAACCAAAAAATAGACAAAATACATGAAACATCAAACTTCAAGACACTGGACAAGGAAAAATAGTGATCCCTAAATGATGAGAAACAAGGAGGTTTGTTAGGAAATTCCACACCCCTCAATTGGAAGTGATTGATCTATAATGTAATGACATCCTGAAACACAGAAATCAAGAGAAGAATCTAATAGAATTCTACAAATGCCTTCCCAGTGACAAATATGCTCAATTAAAATCATATGCTCATGAGTTGATATTGTTATTTGGCAGTATCTACCTGTGTGAAGACATTTTCAAAGACAAAACACATTAAATCACATTAAAAATCAGCACTAAGAGAACATTTGCCATTGATTTAATGATAAAGACACTAACTTTGATGCCCAATTAAGCAAAATGTCATCTCCCCCTTCCCCTGAAAAAATTCTCTTCTCATTAACAGACCTGTATTACAAAAGAAAAATTTCATTCAATTATGATTGGTATATTTTTATGTCAATAAAAAACATGGTCTGGGCATGGTGGCTCATGCCTATAATCCTAGCACTTTAGGAAGCTGAGGCAAGAGAATCACTCAAGCCTAGGAGTTCAAGACCAGCATGGACAACACAGTGAGACCCTGTCTCCATCAAAATATTTTAAAAATTATCTGGGCATGATGATATGCACCTGTAGTGCCAGCTACTCTGGGAGCTGAGGCGAGAGGATCGCTTGAGCCTGGTGTGGGGCTCAAGGCTCCAGTGAGCTGTGATTACACCACTGCACTCCAGCCCGGGCAACAGAGTAAGACCCTGTCTCCAAAAGTACACATGGAAATTTGTGTCCTTGTTTGTTATATAGGAAGGTATATAATAGGCCCAATTTTGCCTCTTGACCTACAAAGCCTACCCTCTCACTGTTACCAGGAAAAAAAAAAAATTGTCAACCCCTAATCTAGATCAATCTCAGCAATACCAGGCTCTGCTCAGTACTCTAGAACAAGTAAAAATCTGGATCTAGAAACAGGCATTAAACCAAATTGCCAGGGCTTCTCTGGGCTTCAATACAGCATGGATGAGATGGTTCAGAAGATGTTAATCAGAAAGCACCAGAACATGAAGAAAACTTGAGGAGCATCTAGAATAGCTCCTCCTTTTAGAGGAAAGAGTTACAAGCCAGGAGAAAGACCTGCCCTTCCTAGGACCAGTCCATAAACTCTTGCCCCCTGCCCTGCTCCTCCTTCTGAGCCTTCAGCTACTTATTCCAGAATCTTACAATAAGCAAAATTACAACCAAACCACTGGTCCAATATTGACTCCCAAAGGTACAAACCAGAACCTTCTCAACACCCTGCTTTGGACTGTTCTCAGATCTAGGGCTGTATTAGCTCATTCTCACACTGCTATGAAGACATATCTGAGACTGGGTAATTTATAAAGGAAAGAGGTTTAATTGATCCACATTGCTGGGGAGGCCTCAGGAAACTTACAATGACGGCAGAAGGTAAAGGAAAAACAGGCACCTTCTTCACAGCCGGCAGGATAGAGTGAATGCCAGCAGGGGAAACGCCAGCTCCTTATAAAAATCAGATGTGGTGAGACTCACTCATAATCACAAGAACAGAATGCGGAAAACCACTCCCATGATCCAATGACCCTCACTTGGTCCCACCCTTGACACATGGGGATTATGGGGATTATAATTCAAAGTGAGATTCAGGTGGGGACAAACAGCCAAATCATATCAAGGACACACCAGGCATTTCTCACCCTGCTACAGTTTCAGAGGTCTTCTCGGGGTCCTCAGTACTTCCAAACTGAGATTACAGAAGAAATATTAAGCCCCTGGAAAAACTCTTAAAAAATATATACCAGATACACAGAAGCCAAAAAATACCCTAAAACTACTAATACAAGAGGCACTAAATTGAAGCTACTGAAGAAAACATCAGAGAAAATCTTACCTTGCTTGGCAATTGAACAGCAACATTTCACGGTTATAAATCAAAATATATAGAAGAACCAGGAAGGCTTTTGCTCTAACGTATGCTGAGAGGCTGTCAAGTAAATGGATAACTGTGGAGACAAAATCTTGTGGAAGACATTTAAAAAATTTTTTGAGAGAACATAAAAAAATAGGGCAGTCTCAATTCTCAGGGTGAACAGCCTATAATAATCAAGCAGATGGCAGGAAGTAAAATAATATCAACTACTGTTTTCGCATTCTCAATTTGTGCCAGATCCCATAACTAAATTTTAATATTATCTCATTTAAATCTGAAAGTCATAAAAAGTTGACAATATTGGCCGGGCATGGTGGCTCACACCTGTAATCCAAGCACTTTGGGAGGCCAAGGCGGGCGGATCATGAGGTCAGGAGATTGAGACCATCCTGGCTAACACAGTGAAACCCCGTCTCTACTAAAAATACAAAAAAATTAGCCAGGCGTGGTGGCACGCGCCTGTGGTCCCAGCTATCGGGAGGCTGAGGCAGAAGAATGGCATGAACCCAGGAGGCAGAGCTTGCAGTGAGCCGAGATTGCGCTACTGAACTCCAGCCTAGGCGACTGAGCAAGACTCCATCTCAAAAAAAAAAAAAAAAAGTTGACAATATTGTCCCCACTTGAAAGAGAAAAATGAATATTGAAAAGTTAAGCAATTACCCAAATTCAGATAATAAGCAATTTACCCAAATTCAGATAAAATTCAACTGGCCTTGTATAAAATCCACGCCAGTTGAATGACAAAGCCTGCCTGTTCACTACTCAATCACACAACTGGAAATGTGGCAGCAAATAATACAACTGTCAGTCACAACTGCATGTAGATATAAATCTCTGAGAAGAGCTGCATACAGAGAGATCATATCTCTGGTCTACACATCTGAGGGCTTAACAGAAAATGAAGACAATACTCAATACATGACACAAAGAAACATATACTCCTATACCACTCTTCAATTAAAGGTATAATTCAACACAGAGGACTAAGTATTGACAAGGAATACTGCTACTTTCCCTTTTAAAAAACAGACTATAAATAATTTATATCAATATGCAAACAGAAAACAGACACACATGCACACACATGGTTAATGAATGTAAATAGTCAGAAATATGGAATCATAATATCAGCAAGGTGACTACAGAGAACAGGAATATATAAGTTCCCAAGAGAGCTTAACAGAGGCCAGCACCTAACAGTAACACTGTGTGTCCAAGATAGATTTAAGAAGCTCGATTTTTTTTGGCCACACTCCAATCCTTTTCTATTCACTGGTATGTTTCCAGGTAGGAAGAATTTACATAGTCATGTATATGCCATGTAAACTCTATACTACTTAAGGATACAAACATATCTAAGCATCAGTCTCACCTAGTTCCTGAACCAAATTATCAAAGCCAAATTATTCATCTCGGGTAAAAAACAAATCAATGCAGTCATCCTTGAGTAGAAGATCTGTTTTCTACCTTTCCAGCAACAGACAGTAGAAAATCCATCTCCCCAGATGCATTCCTGATTCTAATTTATACTCTGTGGTCTAAGGACCACAATCACAAGTCTGTTTCCCATATCAACACCACCCCCAACATATACACACATAATTCCAAAGCCATTCAAATTTCCAGCAATCATAGACTGAAAAACTCTTCCAGATTATATGAGATTAAAAAGACATGATAACTGACTTCAATTCAAGATCTGGAAGTTCTGTTCCCCATAAAGAACACTATTGGGACAACTGGCAAAATCTGAATAAGGTCTGTAGATTAGCTAACAACACTGAATGTTAATTTCTTGATTTTGACAATCACGGCTTGTTTCAAGGAAACATTCAGTGAAGTAATTAGATTTAGAAAAGCATCATGTCCACAAACTTCTCAAATGGGTCAGAAAACATACACACACTCACACACATGTGCACACAAAGTGAAAGAGATAAAGACAGAGAGACAGATAAATCATAAAGTAAACATAGTAGAATGTTAACATTTGGTGAATGTGGGCAAAGGATCTATTGCAATCATTTACACTGTATGTCCAAAATTACACTCAGTGCCTACTCTAAACATGATACTCCTACTCTGAGGATCAGTCTACTAGCCAAACTCAGAAGCCTGGGTACCATCCTTGACCCTTCTTTCCTTTGTCCCATGCCCAATTAACCCCAAGCTCTGTGAAAATGACACCCCCACTATGGCTGTCTTATTTCTATGTACTATTATATCTTTCCTGAATTACTACAACAGGCTTTACCTAATTTTCCTTTATTCCATCTATTCTACAAATTTTAGCCACAGTGGATCCTCTATAAGAGCAAATATAACTCACCTATAAAATATTCTCAATAGTTACACTACCATTAAAAAGAAGCTAAAACTCGTGGCATATGAGGTTCTTCATGGTCTGGCTTTTCGTTATCTTTCCAAAATCATGTATCATACCATCAACTCCACTGAATACCCTCAACACTCACCATGAGGAAATAAAAAAAGGAAATTGAGAATATTGAAAAAAGGAAAGTGGCAAAGGGAATCCCAGGATGATTCCAAGGTGACAGCCTTCACCAGACAGAGAGCAGCCCATCTGTGTGGAAGCTGGTCAGAGACCCCCAGAGAGAACTCAGGAGAAAAAACTGACAGACTATCTGAAGCACCTGAGTGTAATTTGAAACACAAAGTGATGTAAACAAAGAAAGGTCCACTAGATATTGATCCACACAAAATTAACAGACCGAGTACATATGCATGTTGGAGCCTATCTCATGTCCTACTTCAAAATAAACACCAAACAAATCTAAGATTTAAGATCTAGAATAGGCCATGGCAGGTAGGAATACAAACATATATACGTACATATATACATATTTCAATCTCAGACTGGGGAAAATGTTCATAAATAATTTATCAGAAAGAACAAAATAAGCGTGAGAAATGTAAATACAAAAAACATTAAATGCCACATAGAAATAAAACACTATATAGAAAAACACATAAACTAGAGAATGTATTTGCAGCACATTTTTTGAATAAAGTGGTGATTCTCTTGATATATAAATATCAATAACTAAGAAAAGAACTAAAGAACTAAGAAAGTAAGAGTTCTAGAAACAACTGAAACCTCTGATCTCTTCCATATGGAATATCACATTAACCAAGGATAATTTAAAGTATTTCAAAAAATACAGAAAATAGGAGGCAAGTTTCATATAAAGCTATCCATACAAACCTATTTCATATATAAAGACAACAAAAAAGGAAAATCAAAAACATTTCAGCTGATAAAAACTTTTTTTGGAGACCGAGTCTCACTCTGTGCCCAGGCTAGAGTACAGTGGTGCAATCTCGCCTTACTGCAACCTCCGCTTCCTGGGTTCAAGCAATTATCCTGCTTCAGCCTCTCAAGTAACTGGGACTACAGGCTCGTGCCACCATGCCCGGCTAGTTTTTTGTATTTTTAGTAGAGATGGATTTTTACCGTGTTAGCCAGGATGGTCTCGATCTCCTGACCTCGTGATCTGCCCGCCTTGGCCTCCCAAAGTGCTGGGATTACAGGTGTGAGCCACCATGCCGGGTTGAAATGCTCTGATTTTACCTGCTATGGTCTGAATGTTTTTGCTTGCCCCCAATCATATGTTAAATTTAATCTCCAATGTAATAATGTTAAGAGGTGGAGCCTTTGGGAGGTAAGTAGGTCATAAGGACTACACCCTCATGAATGAGGTTAGTACCCTTATAAAAGAGGCCTGAGTGAGTTTATTTACCCTTTCCAACATGTAAGGACACAAAGAAGACACTATCTGTGACAAATGGGCCCACACTAGACACCAAATCTTCTAGTGCCTTGATCTTGGACTTCCCAGCCTCCAGAATGGTGAGCAATAAATTTCCATTATTTATACATTACCCAGTCTAAGGTACCTTGTTATAGCAGCCCAAACATACTAAGATACCACTCAACCAAAACAAAAAACAAAACAAGGCAAAATTAAGGGAGAGGTAAGCTGTACTGTAACCGCTCAATTTGAAGGAACTATCATTAAGTAAGCATTTATAGACATCAAAAAGGTCCAAGTCACTTAGTTATACAAGACAAGGAGGTATAGACAATATACCTTAGGAATACAGATGCAAAGACTCCTCAACAAAATATAAGCACATTGATCCAGAATATATTAAAGGAATAAAACATTATGACCAAGTGAGGTTTACCCCAGGAATTCAAGGCTGATTCAACATTTGAAAAGCAATCAGTGTAATTCATCATAATTAACGGATGAAACAAGAAAAATCACATAACCATATCAATTACTAATAAAAAAGCATTTTACAAAATTCAACATACATTCATAATAAAAACTCTCAGCAACCTAGGAATAAAAGAGACGTCCTCAATCTGAAAAAAGGCAAGCAGAAAAAAACCTACAGCTAGCATCATACTTAATGATGAAAGACTAGGTGTTTCCCCAGAAACTGGGAAGAAAGCAAGGATGTCCACTCTTATCACCCATGATTCAATATTTTACTGAAAGCTGTAGCCAGTATAAGAAAAATAAATAAATGACATTTAGATTTGAATGAGAGAAATATTTGCAGATGGCATGATGATCTATGTAGAAAATCCCAAGGAATTTACAAAAAAAAGTTTCTATAACTTATAAGTGAGTTTAGCAAGATCTAGTATATTTCAATATACCAATAATGAACAAATGGAAAATAAATCCTTTTTAAAGTACTACTTTTCAATAGCTCCAACCATAACAACAACAAAGAAGTATTGCTTTCACCCTAACAAAACATCTACAGAATCTGTACATTAACACTCTAAAATAGTGATAAAATAAAACTTTTTAAACATATAATGAAGAGACATTCCATGTTCATGTAGTAAGACTCAAGTTAGTCATCAATTCTCCCCAAATTGATCTATAGACTCAATGCAACTTCAATCAAAATCCCAACAGGATATTTTGTAGATATAAACTAAGTTTAAAATTTCTATGGAAAGGTAAAAAAAAAAAAACTAGAAAATGCAAAACAATTTTGGGGGGATATGCAAGAATCACACAATAATTTTAAGACATACAAAAACTACAGTGATCAAAACAATGTAGTATTGACAAAATGAGACACACAGAATGAGGAAACAAACTAGAGTTCAGAAATATAGTCAATTAGTTTACGATAAAGGTGCAAAGGCAACATTGGAAAAAGGATAATCATATCACCAAATGATGCTGGAACAACTGAATATCCGCATGCAAAAATGTTAACTTACACTCATTCCTCACTCCATATGCAAAAATTAACCCAAAATGTATTATACAACTGAATATCAGTAAACTTCATCAAAATTAAAATTTCTCCTCTGTGAAGGACACTGTAAGAAAAGACAAGCCACATACTCAGAGAAAATATTTGTACCCAGAATATATAAAGAACTCTCAAAACTCAAAATTAAGAAAAAAAATTTTAATGAACAAAATATTTAAACAGACATTTCACCAAAAAAAGTATCTGTCAAATAAATAAATGCAAGGATGCTCAATATCATAATCATTACAGTAGTGCAAATTAAAATCATACTGACTATAACTATGAACTTATTAGAATGACTAGCATGAAAAATGGTGAGTATGTGAAGCAATTGAAGTTTTTCATACATTGCTAGTGGAAATGCAGAAATGGCACAGGAATCCTGGAAAACAGTTTGGCAGTTTCATTAAAATGTTCAATACATACCTATCATATATGCCTCAACCATCCTACTTCTAAGTATCCTAATGAAATAAAAACTTAAGTTCACAGAGAATCTTGTACACAAAAATTGATAGCAATATTTAGTTATAATACAGATTGAGTATCCCAAATCCAAAAATCTGAAATCTGTAATGCTCCCAAATCCAAAACTTTTTGAGCACTGACATGATGCAAGTGGAAAATTCCACACGTAAGTACTTAACACAAACTTTGTTTCATGCACTGAAAATATTTAAAATATTGTATGAAATTACCTTCGCCTTATTTTATACAAGGTGTATATGAAACATAAATAAATTTTGTGCTTAGACTTGGGTCCCATCCCCAAGCTATCTCATTATGTATATACAAATATTGCAAGATCCTAAAACACTGAAATCTGAAACACTTCTGGTCTCAAGCATCTTGGATAAGGGATATTTAACCTATAGTCAAAAACCGAAAACAGTTCACATGTCCTTCAATGTGTACATGAATAAAGAAACTGTGGTACATCTACATAATGAAACAGTACTCTGCAGTAATGAACTACTGATACATGCAGTGACATGGATGAACCTCAACTGCACTGTATTAAGTGAAAGAAACCAGCTGCAAAGATTATATGCAGTATGATCACATTTATATGACATTCTGGAAAAGCTAAAGCTATAGGGGCAGAGAAGACATCAGTGATTGCCAGGGACTGGGATGGAGGGTGGTTTGCCTAAGAAAAAAGCAGCACAAGGTCATTTTTTGGGAAACTGGAATTGTTCTGTATCTTTCTACAAAAATTAGCCAGCTGCAGTGGCTCATGCCTGTAACCCCAGTTACTCGGGAGGCTGAGGCATGAGAATTGCTTGAACCAGGAGGCAGAGGTTGCAGTGAGTCAAGATCGCACCACTGCACTCCAGCCTGGGCAACAGACAGACTCCATCTCAAAAAAAAAAAAAAGAGAGAGAGAGATATGGGGTCCCACCATGTTGCCCAGGCTGGCCTTGAACTCCTAGATTCATGCAATCCTCCAGCCACAGCCTCCCAAGTAACTGGGGCTACAGGCGCATACAATTGTGCCCAGCTTGAATTGTCTATACTAAAATCTGTGAATCCTAAAATCTGTCGCTATAAATACAGTCTGATAACGATTAAAGTAAATTAGCATTAACTACTTTAAGTTTTTAGAGATTATAATTATAGAAATTTGTAATGAGCTCATCCAATATATTTCTCCCCAGTAAACAGCAGGAAATATCCATGAGCCCTCAAACTCCTCCAGCCTTGAAAATGAAATATTTGGGCCGGGCGCAGTGGCTCATGCCTGTAATCCCAGCACTTTGGGAGGCAGAGGCAGGTGGATCACGAGGTCAGGAGATAGAGATCTTCTGACTAACACAGTGAAACCCCGTCTCTACTAAAAATACAAAATTAGCCCGGAGTGGTGGCGCATGCCTATAACCCCCAGCTACTCGGGAGGCTGAGGCAGAAGAACGGCTTGAACCTGTGAGGTGGAGGTTGCAGTAAGCCAAGATCACACCATTGCACTCCAGCCTGGGCAACGAGCGAAACTCCGTCTCAAAAAAAAAAAAAAGTTTCCTATTAAGTGTTTAGGGGAAAAAAATGGAAAAAGTGGCTTACTGAGTGCCAGGCACCCTGCTAAGCGTGGTATATACACTGGCTCACTTAGTCCTCATATCCAGATGAGCAAATTGAAGTCTAGAGAAGTTACGTGAATTGCTCAAGATCAAAGATTGGAAAATGGCAGAGGAGGGGCTTGCTGACTCCTAAGTCCATCTTTAGCTTAAATCTTACACTTGACTTCTAATCTTCTAATTTTTCATTTTATTCCCTTCACTGTGGTCTCACAGGTTTCCCTTGTTTCTGACAATTGATAAACTTGCCTCTTTTTTCTTTGAAATGGAGTTTCACTCTTGTTGTCTAGGCTAGAGTGCAATGGCCCAGTCTCGGCTCACTGCAACCTCTGCCTCCAGGGTTCAAGCAATTCTCCCACCTCAGCCTCCTGAGTAGCTGAGATTACAGGTGTCTGCCACCACACCTAGCTAATTTTTGCATTTTTATTAGAGACGAGGTTTCACCATGTCAGTCGGGCTGGTCTCAAACTCCTGACCTCAGGCAATCCTCCTGCCTCGGCCTCCCAAAGTGCTGGGATTACAGGCGTGAGCCACTGCGCCTGGCCAAAGTTGCCTCCTTTTAATTCAGATCCTTGGCTCTCCTCCTCCACTCCCACTGGCCCCACCTCCCAACATTGGCCCTACTCCACCCCACAGGCGGTAACAGGGATTTACACCTCTTTCCAGATCCACCTGCCAACTCCTGCTCTGCTCTCCTCCCTCAGGGACCCATTAGCTACACAGGTCTTTCCTGTGCTCTTTCTAAAATGCAAATCTAGATATTTCACCAACTTAATTAAATGCCCTCAGCTGTCCTTAGGAATGAGACTAAGGCCTTTCCTGATCTGGTCCTCGCTACCTCTCCAGCCTCCTCACCCACTTGCTCCTTGCCCTGTGCCTAATCGACACACTCCTTCTGGGTTCTAGCCACCCTCTGGCTGAAATTCCTGTTATTCCTAGTCTGCCTACTCATCCTCCAAGGCTCGTCTGAAGACATTCCTCTAAATGTTTCCAGAAACACTTCAAGACAGAACTTACTGTTCCTCCTCCATCCTTTCCCAGACCACAAACCTGGATCACACCGCACTATGATCACTAGTCTTTCCTACCGGCCCAGAAGGTCTTTGAGAGCAAATACATTTGATTACTTAGTTCTGTCAGTGCCCTAAACAATTCAGGTTTTTAATCAGTGTCAGCTGGATGAGTTACTTTCCCTTTTCATGCCTATTTTAACATATTCCCTCTGGATAAAAATTCTAGATTTGCAGGGCTACAAACAGTAGAGCTGTCTTTGGTCCCTCCCTGGAGGCGCTTCAATTGCTGGCGAGATGGCTGCCTCAAGGCAACTTTGCTCACAGAGGATCACAGGAAAAAGCTCTTCAGTTCGAGAGGTATTTACCTATTGATTAGGTTCCTCTGTGCGTCGGTACTATCGAGAGGAAGCTGATGTCGTAACTCCGGTCCTTTTTCACTTTCTTAAATTTTTTTCCTCCCAAATGAAAAGTGGGTGAATGAATGAAAATCCACTGACCATCAAATGTATTTTACACTCTGAAACATTCCCCATTTTTGTGAGTGCAAATTAATTCAAATAGGATTTCCCTTCCTAACGGCACAATCAACTGCACTGTCTTCAAAAAGAGATGTGGACTGCTTGAAAATGAGACGCTTGTGTCACAAGGACATTGCACATGGACACAGAGCAGCATGATGGTTTCCAAGCCACACGCATCATGCCAGGCAGACCCCACCGCTAAGGCTAGAAGGAACTCTGGTGAAGCACTGACTCCAAACAAAGAGGGACTTTGGTCCAGCAACCCCGTCCCACCCTACAGCAGACGGGCTGGGGCCTGGACGCTCTACAACAGTAAGTAGTCTAGGATTCAGTTCTAACTGGCTTAGAGAACAATGGGTCAGGCGCTTTGGGTAATTTTTTATAACAGGCTCACCTTTTTTATAATATTTGATCCAGATTTTGACAGTTATGCTTTATTTATTTAGCCCACCCAGGAAATCAAGTATCCTACATAAATCAATCTTCCAGGGAGCAAAGCTTTAAGGGTTCTCTCAGAACCATTATTTTGACCATTCTTATGCAAATCTTTTAAAGATATATACATTTCTTTATTTCTGAAGTGACTACAGTGATTATAATTTAGTCAGTGCTAAGGAGTCGGCTTCATCAAAAAGAACATCAGTGATTATTCTGTGTTGTGACACTGTGATACCCTGAGGAGCTATTGAGATGTGAAGCTCTTTTCCCATAAACAAAATGGTCCCAGATTACAATGCCTTTAATTCTTCTGACAGCTTTTCATAATTCTTCTGTCTCCTCCTTCCAATGTTGCCCATCACTTCTTACTAATGTTAATTACTATGACTTCATTTCCTAAACTGCTGCCTTCATTTAATTTTATAGAGAATCCTAAATCAATGGGCCTGAGGGAGCTGTCACACCTCTCCTACGGAGTAGTATCTGTGAGCTCTGTGTCATTCTTCTCAGAGCTGAAAGGCCCCTCTCTCTCACTTCTGGATTTCTAGCCACTTTCCAAATGGCTGATGCTGCCAGGAACATTAAATTTTACTTCGCATTCAATGAATACATACTGGCTGGCAGAGGAGGATAGTGGCCTAGAAACTTCTTTGGTTAACCCTAGGAGGTCAACTGAGATTAAATCTTGCTATGGACAACTCACAAAATGTGTAATTGACAGTGGTCTGCAGCCAGAATACAAAGGTCTTAAGACCAAAAGCTTCTCTGTAAAGCTTTTGTAAAGCAAAAGCTTGCTTTACTCCGCTAAAGCAAGTAAGAAGGTGACGCATCCATGGTATTGTCTAGATCAAAGTCACAGCTGTTTTTTTTTTTTTAATTATACTTTAAGTTCTAGGGTACATATACACAATGTTACATACAGGTTACATACGTATACATGTGCCATGTTGGTGTGCTGCACCCATTAACTCATCATTTACATTAGGTATATCTCCTAATGCTATCCCTCCTCCCTTCCCCCACCCCACAACAGGCCCCGGTGTGTGATGTTCCCCTTCCTGTGTCCAAGTGTTCTAATTGTTCAATTCCCATCTATGAGTGAGAACATGCGGTGTTTGGTTTTTTGTTCTTGCAATAGTTTGCTGAGAATGATGGTTTCCAGCTTCATCCATGTCCCTACAAACGACATGAACTCATCATTTTTTATGGCTGCATAGTATTCCATGGTGTATACGTGCCATATTTTCTTAATCCAATCTATAATTGGTGGACATTTGGGTTGGTTCCAAGTCTTTGCTATTGTGAATAGTGCTGCAATAAACATACGTGTGCATGTGTCTTTATAGCAGCATGATTTATAATCCTTTGGGTATATACCCAGTAATGGGATGGCTGGGTCAAATGGTATTTCTAGTTCTAGATCCCTGAGGAATCGCCACACTGTCTTCCACAATGGTTGAACTAGTTTACAGTCCCACCAACAGTGTAAAAGTGTTCCTATTTCTCCACATCCTCTCCAGCACCTGTTGTTTCCTGACTTTTTAATGATCACCATTCTAACTGGTGTGAGATGGTATCTCATTGTGGTTTTGATTTGCATTTCTCTGATGGCCAGTGACGATGAGCATTTTTTCATGTGTTTTTTGGCTGCATAAATGTCTTCTTTTGAGAAGTGTCTGTTCATATCCTTCGCCCACTTGTTGATGGGGTTGTTTGTTTTTTTCTTGTAAATTTGTTTGAGTTCATTGTAGATTCTGGATATTAGCCCTTTGTCAGATGAGTAGGTTGTGAAAATTTTCTCCCATTCTGTAGGTTGCCTGTTCACTCTGATGGTAGTTTCTTTTGCTGTGCAGAAGCTCTTTAGTTTCATTAGATCCCATTTGTCAATTTTGGCTTTTGTTGCCATCGCTTTTGGTGTTTTAGAAATGAAGTCCTTGCCCATGCCTACATCCTGAATGGTATTGCCTAGGTTTTCTTCTAGGGTTTTTATGGTTTTAGGTCTAACATGTAAGTCTTTAATCCATCTTGAATTAATTTTTGTATAAGGTGTAAGGAAGGGATCCGGTTTCAGCTTTCTACATATGGCTAGCCAGTTTTCCCAGCACCATTTACTAAATACGGAATCCTTTCCCCATTTCTTGTTTTTGTCAGGTTTGTCAAAGATCAGATGGTTGTAGATGTGTGGCATTATTTCTGAGGGCTCTGTTCTGTTCCATTGGTCTATTTCTCTGTTTTGGTACCAGTACCATGCTGTTTTGGTTACTGTAGCCTTGTAGTATAGTTTGAAGTCAGGTGGCATGATGCCTCCAGCTTTGTTCTTTTGGCTTAGGATTGTCTTGGAAATGCAGGCTCTTTTTTGGTTCCATATGAACTTTAAAGTAGTTTTTTCCAATTCTGTGAAGAAAGTCATTGGTAGCTTGATGGGGATGCCATTTAATCTATAAATTACGTTGGGCAGTATGTCCATTTTCATGATATTGATTCTTCCTATCCATGAGCATGGAATGTTCTTCCATTTGTTTGTATCCTCTTTTATTTCATTGAACAGTGGTTTGTAGTTCTCCTTGAAGAGGTCCTTCACATCCCTTGTAAGTTGGATTCCTAGGTATTGTATTCTCTTTGAAGCAATTGTGAATGGGAGTTCACTCATGATTTGGCTCTCTGTTTGTCTGTTATTTGTGTATAAGAATGCTTGTGATTTTTGCACACTGATTTTGTATCCTGAGACTTTGCTGAAGTTGCTTATCAGCTTAAGGAGATTTGGGGCTGAGATGATGGGGTTTTCTAAATATCCAATCATGTCATCTGCAAACAGGGACAATTTGACTTCCTCTTTTCCTAATTGAATGCCCTTTATTTATTTCTCCTGCCTGATTGCCCTGGCGAGAACTTCCAACACTATGTTGAACAGGAGTGGTGAGAGAGGGCATCCCTGTCTTGTGCCAGTTTTCAAAGGGAATACTTCCAGTTTTTGTCCATTCAGTATGATATTGGCTGTGGGTTTGTCATAGATAGCTCTTATTATTTTGAGATACGTCCCATCAATACCTAATTTATTGAGAGTTTTTAGCATGAAGGTTGTTGAATTTTGTCAAAGGCCTTTTCTGCATCTATTGAGATAATCATGTGGTTTTTGTCTTTGGTTCTGTTTATATGCTGGATTACTTTTATTGATTTGCATATGTTGAACCAGCCTTGCATCCCAGGGATGAAGCCCACTTGATCATGGTGGATAAGCTTCTTGATGTGCTGAGTCACAGCTGTTTCTGAGTCTGGTCTTCCCTAGTTGAACCACAGACCCATGCAAAGGCAAGTTTCAAAGGAAGGCTGGGGCCATACTCCCTGGGGCATGTACCCCCTTAATCCTTTCTGTGACTCTCATCTGCAGTACTTCCCTAAGTGTCCTGACAAAGGAGATTCACAGCACACAAACTTTCCCTGGGTCTTGGCATGCCCTGAACATCTAGATCAGACCATGAGATTTTTGCCCAGGTTTGACTTCCCCACCTGGAAGAGCCAGGGCCCTTTCCACATAATGGTGTTACTTACAGTGACAGGCAGGTCTAGAGGATTAAGGTGCTTGTCCTGCCGGCAGAAAGCAAAAGCATAGAGAGAAGCAGACGGAATGAGCTTTCAGCTTACATTCAAACAAGGACCAGGAAGGAAGATTAACAGAGCCAAGCCATCCACCAAAGACAAGGACAGAAAGAACCACAGATGCTTTTGGTCTTCCCTCTAGAATCTACCAAGAGCTGGGTACATACATGATCCCACTTAGATTTCATCTTACTGAGCCCATGAGATTGTCAGAGAACTAAAACGTCTTACTTTTAACACCACTTGGGCTTTTCTCAGAGAAATCTAGAATGTTAGTGTTGGAAGGGCTGTCAGAGATCATTTAAACTGGCCCTTTCATTTTACAAAAAGAGAAACTGAGACCCAAAGAGGTTACAAGCACTTGCCCAGCCAGCAGCAGGGAGAGTACTTAGTTCCAGGCCCCTTGGCTCTTAGGTCAGGGCTTGTTCCACCACCCAGCTGATTCTTAGTTTCCTCATCTGTGAAACAGGGAGCTTGTTTTTCCTCAGACACCCTTGTGAGCTAAACAAGGCAGATGTTGTTGCTGCCATGTGACAGGTGAGGAAACTAAGGTTCACAGAGGCAGAGCTATTTGCATAATGTCACAGTTAATGAACAGGCGAAAGAAGATGTTTAGAATCTGCATCAGAGAACCTTTAAACATAAAACTTAGTGTGAAGTCCCATTTATATTGGAGCCCTTGGACTCAGGGTACCCACAGGGTCTCTTCTTCCTTATTCTTGATCCTCTAACCCAGGAGTTGGCAAACTATGGCCATATTAGGCTTGTTGCCTGTTTTTGTAAATAAGATTTTATTGGAAGACAGCCATACCCATTCATTTACCTACTGTCTGAGGCTGCTTCTGGCTACAATGGCAAGGTTGAGTAGCTATCACATAGGCCATATGGCCCATAAAGTCAAACATGTTTATTCTCTGGCCCTTTAGAGGAAAAAGTTTGAAGGGCCCTAATCTCATCTAAGATCCAGCTGGTTTCTCCTCATAGTTCTTCCCTGGGTCTTCCTTAGCAAAGCCACCCTGCTGGGCTCTAGACCAGAGGGCTAGGAGGAAGGACTCTTGGGAAAATGCCTGGATTTGTGCTCTCTGAACAGCAAAGAGTACGTGGGGTGAGAATTCTTCTCTCAGAAGAGCCCAGATGAAGAATGTGAAAAGGCAGCCACAGATCTGTCTCTAGTCCTCGGGAGGCTTCAGAAAAAGTGCATTAATCAGTGCAATGGCGTAGGTCTGAATCTCCTGTCTGGAGCTATGTCAATGGAGAAAGACGGCACAGGGAGATTAGAAGACTGAACAGCAAGATGATGCTTAGAGATAGTTTAAAACAATCATTTACAGATTATAAGCAAATAATGACCTGGAGCTAAGTCTCAAAAGCATCCAAAGTGGACATGCTCTTGACCCAGCAATTTCACTAATAGAAACTTATCCTAAGACAGTAATCAGAGAGCTATGCAAGATTTACTGACAAGGCATTTCACTAAAGTACAACTTAAAAAAGAATGGAAAGTAATCCAAATGATCACAGTAGCCAACTGTTTATATATATGAGAATCTTAAGTAGTTATTAAAAGTCATGTTTTAGGGTAAATAAACATTCTTAACCTGGGATTCAGGGATGGGCTTAGAGTATCTGTGAACCCCAGGAATGATACAGAAATTATTCTATGTAGTTTGCTGACGAAGTGGTATTTTCTCCAAACTGGTGAGAGTACATACTTGTTAACCAGATTTTCAAAGGTGTCTAGGTTGCAAAAAAGACTTAGAACTACCTTTTAGAAAAATCTTTGACATGGAGAAATGTTCAAGATATATTATTCAGTTAAAAAAAATCAAGGTACACATAGTATATATAATAAGATCCCAATTTTGTTAAAAATATGCATAAAAAATACTGAAGGGATATTTAATGTTTAACAGTGGGTATGTCTGGAGGTGAGATAATGGGCAAATAATTTATTTTTGGGTTTTTCTGTATTTTTAAAGTCTTGACTATAAACTTATTTTATTATGAACAAACAAAATAACTACAATCATTCCCTGGAATCTTACAATCTCAGTACTTGACATCTCCACCTGCCATGTCTTGGGAGCATTCTGTGGCTGTCTTTCCAGAGGGGCTGATGGGCTTCCTGGTTAGTCACAGGGTACCCAGAGAGTCTACCAGAGGGCACGAAGTGTCCCTCAGCCCAAATAGGAAAGCATATAGGTTCTGGCGACAGCTGTGGGCTGAAAGTATTCACGATTGGCCCCTGTGAAATGCCATGTTCCCGTATCGACCCTAGGGAGGCAACTAGGGCCACTCCGAATTCAGAGACAAAAAAACAGAGGTAGACGTGAGGTTACGGGAAAATCAGAATTCTCTATCTGGAGTTTATAATATCCCTCTCATCTTCATCAACCTTGGTGGCTCACTGGGTATGAAAGCTGAGGCTAGACCAGGCATGGTGGCTCACACCTGTAGTCCCAGCTACTAAGGAGGCTGGAGTGGGAGGACTGCTTGAGCCCAACAGTTTGAGACCAGCCTGGACAACACAGCGAGACCCTATCTCTACAAAAATAAAAAAAAAAATTGGCCAGGTGTGGTGGCTCAGGCCTGTAATCCCAGCACTTTGGGAGGCCGAGGCGGGCAGATCACGAGGTCAGATCGAGACCATCCTGACTAACACAGTGAAACCCCATCTCTACTAAAAATACAAAAAATTAGCCAGGCATGGTGGCAGGCACCTGTAGTCCCAGCTACTTGGGAGGCTGAGGCAGGAAAATGGCATGAACCTGGGAGGCGGAGCTTGCAGTGAGCCGAGATGGCACCACTGCACTCCAGCCTGGGCAACAGAGCGAGACTCTGTCTCAAAAAAATAAATAAATAAATAATTAAAAAACAAAAAAAAAAACTAGCCAGGTGTGGTGGAGTGTGCCTATGATTCCAGCTACTCAGGAGGCTGAGATGAGGAGGACTGCTTGAACCTGCAGTGAGTTATGATCATGCCACTGCACTCCAGCCTGGGTGACAGATTGTTTCAAAAAAGAAAGGCAAAGAAAGCTGAGGCTGAAAATTTCTTAAAAGTGACAAGGAGAAATCAGAGTTGCAAAGAAATAATTGTGCTTCCTTTTTACTTGGATTAGTGGGGAGAAACAAGTTGGGAACATAGCTGAGTGAAAACAGGGTCACTATAACCTCCCAAATCTGGGAGCTATGACTTCCCCTCAAACTGGTGGGGGGATTCTGGCAACATTCTGACAATATCCAAAAAGACAGAAGTGAACAACAGTCAGAACAGAATCATCAGTAGTGCCACCGCTGTTCTGCAAAGTCCAGCTTCCTTACCTGGTGTAGGTTGGTTGGACAGGAAGTAAAAACAATGAAGACAGGAGAAACATAACTCCAATGGGTTCATTTGTCATATGGTTTCATTACTGGTAAAATGTTTTAGGATGTGATGAGAGTCTTAACAAACAAAAGCAAAAAGCCCCTGAATTTACTGAATACTTAACCTGTGCTGGCCACTATGCTAGACTTTTTTAAAATCTCCTTTGATCCTCACGTGAGAAGTGAAGATGATTAACCTAGTCTAGAGATGAAGAAACTGAGGCCAGAAGAGACTAGGTTACTTGCTGATAGCAGAGACCCAGTATGCAGAAGAGCCTGGATTTGAATTGATATTCCAAACTCACGCCCTGTGTGATACTTCTTACAATCACCCACAGCGCATCATCAGTTCAGTAAGCATTCATTCAACAAGTACTAATAAAACAGGGGATATGACAATGATTGATCTCTGTTTCTAGGGGGCTCTATGTTCAAAATGGGCAACAGATAATAAAAATCCAGTATTTTATATAATTATCATAGGTACAAACAGACTACTGGGCTCATGTGGGGAGGAAGCATCTAATTTTGCCTGGTACTAGGGCAGTATGGGAAGACTGGGAAAATCTTCATTTTAACCTAAGGGGCAGAGAGAGTTACAGAGGATTTTAGGCAGGAGCATGACATGATGAGGTCTGAATGATGGTAGAAATTCTGGCAGGAGTGTGGAAGAGGCGATGAATGAAGAAGCCAACCAGCAGCTTGGAATATAAGCAAAGCAGAGTAGGATTGGAAGACTTCAAATAAGAGGAGAGACGAGGACAGACAAGTGAAGGGAGGGAGGTGTAGGGGTGTAGGGTCTTTTACTCACACCTGGAAGTGTGAGATGAGCTGTCCCATGGTGATTTCCTCAGCTATCTTCTGGTACAGACTCTGGTATCTTCTGGTGTGGACTATGCTCTCCAGGATGGCCAGGGACCTCTGAAGGACTGAAACATCCACCGTGGGCTCGCTCACATACCCTGCAATCTAGGCCCAGAGATGGCACATCAATTGAGAAGCTCAGGGCCTAAGAAAGATAGAAGCTTAGCATCTGATGCTAGCCCTTGGAGCTCTCTCTGCTTCACATTTGGGCAGCTATTGCTAGGTGGACAGTGGTACCTGGTTTACGGCTACCCTGGCCAATGTGCCAGGGATTCCCTTGGCATGGATACCTTAATTTCAGATTATAGTATCCACTTAATTGTGTTTCCTCAAAATCTAAAAGCTTAATTCTTTTTATCAAAATAAGAGTTCCAGCATGAGAAAGTGGGGTATAAAAAAGCAGAAGATTGCCAGGCACGGTGGCTCACACCTGTAATCCCAGCACTTTGGGAGGCCGAGGCGGACGATCATGAGGTCAGGAGATCGAGACCATCCTGGCTAGCACTATGAAACCCCATCTCTACTAAAAATACAAAAAATTAGCCGGGTGTGGTGGCGGGTGCCTGTAGTCCCAGCTACTCGGGAGGCTGAGGCAGGAGAATGGTGTGAACCCAGGAGGCAGAGCTTGCAGTGAGCTGAGATCGCGCCACTGCACTCCAGCCTGGGTGACAGAGTGAGGCTCCATCAAAAGAAAAAAAAACAGCAGAGGATTTTACTCATACTGGGATCTCATTTTATCTCCATGTATTCCTCCCCTGACACACATTCTCCCTAAACACACTTAAGACTTTGAGAGGTAGAAAGGACCTTGAAGCCTTTTACTCTAATCCTTCTTCTCAATCCCCATTATAATATACCTGACACATGGTCATTTCACTTGTGTCCAGGGTCGGGGAGTCCCAATGTCCTAAGCCAATGATAAGTGAAGTTCTAGGGCAGCAGAGAGAGTATTATTCAATGGTTTTAATTCAGTTTTCTGAATTGACACTGCTCCTTTGTATAAAAGAAAGGAAGGTAAAACCAGAAGTACCCTCTCCTACCCACTGAGCTTAGTCTGACAATACAAACAGGCTACCTTGCAGATTTGTAAATAGAAGGCAGATTTGCAAATGAAATGCACATTTTTTTTTAATCCAAAGAGAAGAGAGAGCTCAGGAAGTCAGTCAAAAGACTCAGGGATAGTCCTGGTTGACTGGCTGGCTTTATCCCCAGTCTCACTGACAACCTAACTCTACTTTGATCATATTTAGTTCTGACGGTCCAGTTCCATCTCAGTGCAGGCCCTGAGAGTATAACAAAATCCACATCTTTCAGAAGCCACAAAAGACCAGAACTTGAGGATGAAAAATCTGGCCCCAGGGAATATAAAGCTGATATCACCAAAATAGCGATATTGCTTGTATCTCCCCTTAAACCCTGTGAACTGGCAGCTGAGGGAGGAGAGAAAGACAGAATGTTGGATGCCTCACCTGCTTAATAAAGGTGATTGAAACCATGTCCCAGGAGACAATGCCATGGTCCATGAGCTCTAGGAAGGCAGTCAGGGTGAATGCCAGCATATCACTGTAGCTGAGACACACACAAAATGGACAAAGATGCAGACTGGGAAACACAGGTGTGAGGGCAGCCACAAAAAAGATGAATTTTAGGCTGGGTGTGGTGGCTCATGCCTGTAATCTCAGCACTTTGGGAGGCTGAGGCGGGTGGATGAGATCAGGAGATCGAGACTATCCTGGCTAACATGGTGAAACCCCGTCTGTACTAAAAAATACAAAAAACTTAGCCAAGTGTGGTGGCGGGCACCTGTAGTCCCAGCTACTCCGGAGGCTGAGGCAGGAGAATGGCATGAACCTGGGAGGCAGAGCTGGCAGTGAGCCGAGATTGGGCCACTGCACTCCAGCCTGGGTGACAGAGCCAGACTCCGTCTAAAAAAAAAAAAAAAAAAAAAAAAAAAAAAAAAATGATGAATTTTAATGTGAACACCCCATGGGAAATCAGTCGATGCAACTGTAACTGTAAGTGCCTGTGCGCACACCTAGCAAGTAGAGCAGGTTCAGCCCAGGTATCTATCACTGCCAAAAAAAATGCTGCTGGCTGATCAGACCTTTCTTCTCTATGTGCTTCATCCTAGGGACACAGAATCACTTATCTATTTCTCAAGACCAAAGAAGACATCGGACCCTTGTCAAACTCCAGCACCTATTGGGGGAACCTAAGGAGGCATAAGTGCCATGTTAACCTTTGGGCCAAGAGGCAGTAGAGTGCAAGAGATGGGCTCAGTTCTTGTCCACCTTACTAACCAAGCAAATTTTATCTTTTCAAAACTCAATGTCTTCCTCTGTAAAATCAAGTTAGTCTCACAGCGTTAACCTCACAGGATTGTGGAGAGGGCAAGATGATGATGTATGCAAAGCACTTATTCTAGTGCTGATAGAGAATAAGGATTAAAATGTTTTCTCTTTTCTCTCTTCTCCTTTATATATCTGTACAGTGCTCTAGAATTAACAGATGATATTCCCATTTACAAAGCATGTTCAGACACAGTCTCATTAACAATACTTCTCACAATAATACTGCAAGGTAGCTATTATTATCCTCAGGCTAAAGAGAGGGAAACTAAGGCCAGTCTAACCCTGCACTCTCGGGAGACTGTAGAACTGTGTCAGTGCTGATGGCAGCTGAAGGCTTCAGGACTTGAGTACAGCTGGAAGATCCAAGATGTAAAACAAATATCTATGATTAGTTACTTGATTTGGCTGAAAATTTCCATAGTTCATCTACGGGCTGAGAAGATTTCTGATTCCCTCTTTGGCAGCGTAGGCTCCAAGCACCTGTTTACTGACTGCTCTTCACAAGGCACAGCTGCCCACCTCATGCATGTCAACTCTGGGGTATGATGAAAATGTTTGTGGGTATCATAAAGTTCTGGTCTCCTCCTCCCTGTGCAAAAGTGTGGCAGGGAGATGGTGACTTGGTAGGTTGTAACCTGTGGTAAACACAAACGAAGCTGTGTGTGTGTGTGTGTGTGTGTGTTGTGTGTGTGGTGGAAGGTGACTTGAGAGAGAGGGAGCAGGGGGTGGTTACAGATGGACACACACCTGGGACATATTGGACCATGTGCTCAGTAACCCTCATCAGACCAAGCATTTCCAGCAATTAACAGGTCTGTCACAACCTGACCGCTCTCCTACTGACTTCTCTAGCCCCTATTTTCACTGCTCACTTGGCACAGTATTGTTTTGTACTATTATTTAATTTGTGAGAGCCCAACTATACTACAAGATTTAGAAGAACAACACGGAATTATATGTCTCGGTATGGACTCTAGTGCTTTGCACACTGCTCTGTACATAGGTGGTATTCAATAAACTCCTTATGTGACTTGATGGAAATGAGACTAGGATGCCCTGTGGGATGTAGTAAATCACTGAAGTCTCTGGAATGAGACCTTAGTCATACTCACTGGGACAGGAGTTTGGTTCCATTTTCCACAAGCCTCGTCAGCACAATGATGCCATCCATGTTGATGAACTCAGTAGCAAAAGTCACGTCAGCAGAGCTTGGCCAGCACCTTCATGGTATCCAGCCGGGTCTCCATGTTGGATGACTGGGTCCTCTCCATCAGCTGGGCGTGCAGCCTGGGACTAGGAAACCAGGGACAAGACATGTGCCATCTGCTCCTTGGAGCAGGTTACTACTCTGTGGATAGCTCACAGAGGCTCTTTTGTGGACATCCAAACCTGAGGCAGAACTAGCTTTTTTAACACTGCTTAGGAGTTGCTAAATTGTGGGATCAATCAGGGAGTTATTAGCATACCAAAACAAATCTGTATTTATCTGTATCTTTTCTGTACCACTCTGGTCTATGGATTAAAAAAATTCCTACCAAGGGAATACCAGAGACATCTGGGAGGCCCACTAATGAGTCACAGAGAAACAGATATTGGTTTAATAGAGGAAGGTTGTCTATTAATTAAAGCTGTCTGGCTGGGTGCAGTGGCTCATGCCTATAATCCCAAGGCTTTGAAAGGCCAAGGCAGGAGGATTGCTTGAGACCAGAAGTTAGACACCAGCTTGGGCAACAGAGTGACACCCCGTCTCCACAAAAAATTTTTAAAAATGAGCCAGGTGTGGTGGTGCACACCTGTAGTCCTAGCTACTCAGGAGGCTGAGGTGGGAAGATTGCTTGAGCCCAGGAGTTCAAGGTTGCAGTAAGCTAGGACTGTGCCACTGCGTTGCAGCCTGGGTCATAGAGCAAGACTGTCTCTCAAAAATAAAAAAAATAAATTAAATAAAACTGGCCGGGCGCAGTGGCTCACGCCCGTAATCCCAGCACTTTGGGAGGCTGAGGCAGGCAGATCACAAGGTCGGGAGTTCGAGACCAACCTGACCAACATGGTGAAATCCCGTCTCTACTAAAAATGCAAAAATTAGCCGGGCATGGTGGCATGCACCTGTAATCCCAGCTACTCAGGAGGCTAAGGCAGGAGAATCACTTGAACCCAGGAGGCGGAGGTTGCAGTGAGCCGAGATCATGCCACTGCACTCCAGCCTGGGCGACAGAGCAAGACTCCATCTCAAAAAAAATAAATAAAATAAAATAAAATTTATAAAACTGTTAGACAGCAGAAGAGGTTTCTCTTGGGGTATTAAGCTCCCTGTCACCAGAAGCAATCAAGGAGAATGTGGACAACTATCTGTCAAAGATGCTGTAGAAGGGATTCTTGCATTGGGTGAAGAATTTAATCTAATGTTCTCTAAGCTCCCTTTTAATCCTAAAATGTGAAAAGCTTGATAATTTTTTAAAAACTTTCTCTCAAAATCCATATGATTATTCCTCAAAGTAACAGTTCTGGAGAAATTTTAAGAATATCAAGGAGCCAGAAACAATTTCCCAATCATTTTTTGAAAATGAAGGCTGATGAAGACAAAACCTCCTCCTAGCACATGAACTTTTTCTAGCAGGATGCCTGCCTCCTTTTCTGCAAACTGTGGCTAAAATCCCTCCTCTAGCATTCACTGGGCTTTCCTTCTGCTGAGCTTGTTAGTACATAGTACCTCACAATTTACTGTTTCATCATACTCTGTTTTTTGGGTGTTAATTTAATGTTCTCCACTAGAAAGGAAGAGCCTTAAGAGCAAAAACACTCCTGTCTTCTTTTTCTCAGTGTTAAGCAAGTGACTGGAGCCCAATTCCTGCGGCCACCACGGAGTCAGGCCTGTTGTCCCTCTCCCCTTTGCCTCTCCTCTTTTACTATTACAAAGCTGGCCCTTCACAGCACAATGCTCTCTGTGATAGAGAAGCCCTCACTCTGTCTACAGTGGACAAAACGTGCGCCACAGGAAAAGGTCACAGCACAGAACAATCTGAAGAGCACTGGTCTGCATCCCACTTAGAAACTTCCAACTCTGTCAATTTTCCTCCTGATACAGCATTTCTGGGCTGCTGCCTCCCGCTCCAGAGAGATGTGCTTCTGGGAAAGGCAACTGCACTGTGCAAGAGGTCGGAAATGTGTCAGCACTTCCATAAAAGTGTGTAACTCCCAGGCTGTCATATTAAATTACCAGAGCTTAGGAGGGAAGAATGAAGTCCTTAAAATGAGAAGAGTTCAGGAGAAGAGGGGGAGGCAGAAGAACATGATGGGAGGAATATGGGCCTAGAGTCAGGCAGACCTGGGTCTGAGAGCAGGCTTGGCTACTTTATTAGCTGTGTGACAAGTGGCAAGTAATTTAACCTCTCTAAGCCTTGGTTTCCTTGTCTACAGAATGTGGCTATTAAGAGTACCTATCTCATGGGACGTTTGTAAAGATTAGATGATTTAATTACACAAAGTATTTAGCAAAATACAGGCATTCAGTAAAGGTTGGCTGATATCACTTCATACCTCCCCTCCTCTCAGATGAACCAGTCTCTCTCTCTGCACCAAGAAAAGAGGTGCCATCACGCCCTTATTTTGCTAGCTGCGCTTCTACGAATGTAACCAAAGGTGCAATCATATTGGCTGTCTTCCTCATGGGCTTAGCAGTCAAGGTGATTCCCTCTACCTGGGCTTTGAGTCCTTCCTCTCCTGGTCCACTAAGATCCTGTTCTATTGATTACCTGCTTTCCTGCACCTTCAACCTTCCTCTCTTCCATCTTAACACATTCTTAAGGGCACATAAAAAATTGCAACAGAAACAACAACCAGGAAGGGTCAGAAATGTGGGGAACTGGGCAGATGGGGACAGGAGTTGCAGGGAGACCTTTTGCTACATCTCTGTGAAAATTTTTGATTTGTGAAACACATGAATGCTTTACGGGCTTTTAAAAAGCGCATCTTTTTGACTCTACATCCTCTTCACGTTATCACCTTCTCTGTGTTTTCTTTTAAAACCAAGCTTCTTGATACAGCAGTAGACTCAAAGTCCTTACTTTTTTACCTTTCTTTTACTTGACTCAGTTCAGTCTGGCCACCTGGCCTCCCCACCATAACTTTTTTGTGAAGATCACCAAGGTCCTCTTCACCTCCCAAGTCTTGAGACAGCTTCTCTGTTCTCAGTTTGCTAAATTTCTCTGCTCATTAAAAATTGCAGACCATGTTTTCCCCAATCCTGACACTCTCCCTGCCCAAAGCTCCTGTCACTTCACATTCTTGGTGTTCTTTCTACCCTTCTGGTTGCTTCCTTGGTGACCTTTAAGGGCTGCTCTTGCAAAAACCAGAGTCATTCTCCATTCTCCCCTTTCCTTCCACATCCAGCGTATCACCATACTCATAAAGGTTACCTCCTAGATACTCTTCATATCCTTTCATCTCCATTACCATTTGCCTTCCCTGGGCTGTTAACATTCCTCATTTGCCTCTTAAAAGGTTCCTACTACCACCAACCTACTTCTTAAGGCCCATCTTCCACACGGTCACTAAAGTCATCTTTCTAAAACTTAAAATCTAAACATAACATATCTTCCTGCTTAAAATCCTTCAATATCCCTAGTTTCCTTCTGGACAGAGTTCAAACCTATGAGCAGGCCATCAAGGAACATTGAATACCTGGCTTTTCAATGATTGCTACAAGCCTCCAGCCACCCAGCACTTCTGCTTTTCCCAAACACAGCAAACCTCTGTGCCTTGGCATATGCTGATTTCTCTGACTAGAATACTTTTCCTTTTCTTATTTCTCCAGCTAATTCTTGCTCATCCTTTAACATCTGAGCTAAGTGACCCTTTCTCTGGCAAGGCTTTCTGGAAATCTCCAGGCTGAGTTAGGTGGTCCCCTTTGTGAGTTCTCACAGCTCTCTAAGCAACTTTCTCTCAAGATCCTTGAGACAGGCCTTCAATTGCATGTGTTTACTCCCCACTAGGTGGTGAGAACCAAGACACTCTTATCTTCCTATATTATGTCCTGATACAAAAGGACTGACTTTTTAATCTCCAGAGTCCTTGTTTCTAGAACAGAGCCTGGCCCATGGTAGGTGCTCTTATTTGTTTGTGACATGAATAAACTCCTAAGGAAGGAAGAATACCTACTGGGGAGATAGCCAGTTGTAAGATTGTCTCATTTTTTTTTTTTTTTCTGAGACGGAGTCTCGCTTTGTTGCCCAGGCTGGAGTGCAGTGGCATGATCTCGGCTCACTGCAAGCTCCACCTCCCGGGTTCACGCCATTCTCCTGCCTCAGCCTCCCGAGTAGCTGGGACTACAGGCACCCGCCACCACGTCCAGCTAATTTTTTTTTTTTTTGTATTTTTAGTAGAGACGGGGTTTCACTGTGTTAGCCAGGATGGTCTTGATCTCCTGACCTCATGATCCGCCTGCCTCGGCCTCCCAAAGTGCAGGATTACAGGCGTGGGCCACCACGCCTGGCCCGATTGTCCCATTCTTAACGTCACTGCGAGTCTGGGTAGTGAAAAGCAAAGAAACAACAAAGGTAACTAAGATAAAATGTTAAAGTGGTACAAGCAAGTTGAATCAACATAATGTTTTGTCTTTTTTACAGTAGATGTAACAGGCTCTTCAGTCGGGCCCTCTTCTCCTGCTTATTCCTTGGCAAAGAGCTTCTAAGATCCTCTTCTAGCACCCTGGGCCCTCAGGAAGTAAAAGCCACCTTTTTCCAGCCACTAGGGAGGAACAAGGGCTGGTACTTCCCAGTCTGCCCAGGGAGCGACTCTTTACCCAACACATGGAAGCTACCTGGATGCTGAGTGAAGATAAATAGTGCTGTCTCCTTGGGTCATTTACTTCCAAGCAAGGCCCACATTGATTTTGCCTTTCCCTATATTAACCTGTTCAGTGATGTACAGCTGAGGATCATCTGCATGACGGAGGGTGTAATACTCTGGGTTTGGCAACGACCACCTACGCAAGAGAAAAACAGTATATCCCACTTGGCCACTCTCTTGTCCAGAAGCTTCTCATAAGTCATTTTCAGTAGAGTTGCTCAAGGGATCAGGTGGCCTATTTGGAATACAGTGGAAAAAAACAAAGCTTTAGGTTGTCATGTTGAAAAAATCACAGCCTCAGCCTTTTGTAAAGACAAGCACCACAAAAGGAGGTGTGCGGAACTGAGGAGGGGTCTCAGATCCTACCATGACCTCAAGCAGGGCAATGCTAGACTTACAGGAAAAAATTAAGAAGTATAAACGTCTTAGGGGTATTGTTGTCAACTGTACCTCCTTCCCAAGACAATGATTCCCAAGAGCCCCTTTCTGGGGACCTGCCTAACTGGAGATCCTTCCCAGAACTCCCCTCAAGGTGTGGCAGTGCTCCTTCAGTCAGAGCTGCCACTGTCAAAAACGAGGTCCATTTCAACCTACCCATCACAAACTTCCTTGATAATGGATGCCAGGGGCCATTTCTGAAAAAGAGAGAAAGAGCCTTCAATAGCAGCAACATCCTACCCAAGCCAAGGTTCAGACAAGAGAGCCTGCCAAGCAGGGTCAAGCCGGGGCATGAGAATGTACTTCTTTCCTAACAGCTTTTGTTAAAGAGGAAGCCTCTCCCAAGCCATGGTGACAGACCTTCCCTAGGGTGGGCCAGGCCCAAAGCTTAGCCTTCCTGTTGATGGTTCTTACTCTTGATGCCAGTAGTCCCCATCCCTCAAGATATCCTCTGCCATGCACTCCCCAGGTGCCTTTCCTCACTTCAGGAGTGTACCTGGTTGATTTCAAGGAGCTGGGCATTAGCATCTGGACACTCAATGGCCACTTTGACAATGTCTGATGGTGGTGGCATTTTTCCCAACCAGTGGGCTCTAATTCTGCAAGACAAGAACACAGACACGACTGCCTGGGGAGAAAGAATCTGAAAGACAGAAAAAGTCAGAGTACCTCTTCATTTTTCACTCTTGTTACATGTTTTGAAGAGTCTACAGACAGACACTGCATAAAGTAACACATGAAACTACTTGGTTTGAATTTTTCTAGATCATACCAAAACCTCTCCTTGGGGTTTTGTTTTTTGACATTAAATCAGCAAGAAAAAATGGGACAAACTGTCTATCATCCATAGATCAGCCAGCAGCAACATGTGCCAATGTGGCACTTCAGTTTAAGAGTCGAGAGGACTCAGTGGTAGAAGAACGTATTTACTGCAAATTCCTGTCTTGAGACCTTGGGAGGAGAGTGTGGGGGAAAGAGAGATCAGACTGTTACTGTGTCTATGTAGAAAGAAGTAGACATAAGAAACTCCATTTTGTTCTGTACTAAGAAAAATTATTCTGCCCTGAGATGCGGTTAATCTGTAACCCTAGCCCCAACACTGTGCCCACAGAGACATGTGCTGTGTTGACTCAAGGTTTAATGGATTTAGGGCTGTGCAGGATGTGCTTTGTTAAAAATGTGTTTGAAGGCAGTATGCTTGGTAAAAGTCATCACCATTCTCTAATCTCGAGTACCCAGGGACACAATGCACTGCAGAAGGATGCAGGGACCTCTGCCCAAGAAAGCCTGGGTATTGTCCAAGGTTTCTCCCCACTGAGACAGCCTGAGATATGGCCCTGTGGGAAGGGAAAGACCTGACCATCCCCCAGCCCGACACCCATAAAGGGTCTATGCTGAGGAGGACTAGCGAAAGAGGAAGGCCTCTTTGCAGTTGAGATAAGAGGAAGGCATCTGTCTCCTGCTCGTCCCTGGGAATGGAATGTCTCGGTGTAAAACCTGATCATACATTCTATTTACTAAGATAGGAGAAAACCACCTTGTGGCTGGAGGTGAGACATGCTGGCGGCAATACTGCTCTTTACTACACTGAGATGTTTGTGTAGAGTCAAACATAAATCTGGCCTACATGCACATCGAGGCACAGCACCTTTCCTTAAACTTATTTATGACCCAGAGACCTTTGCTCACATGTTTTCCTGCTGACCCTCTCCCCACTATTACCCTATAGTCCTGCCACATCCCCCTCTCCAAGATGGTAGAGATAGTGCTCAACAAATACTGAGGCAACTCAAGAGACCAGTGCCGGTGCGGGTCCTCCGTATGCTGAGCGCCGGTCCCCTGGGCCACTGTTCTTTCTCTATACTTTGTCTCTGTGTCTTATTTCTTTTCTCAGTCTCTCATCCCACCTGACAAGAAATACCCACAGGTGTGGAGGCGCTGGCCCCCTTTAGGAGAGAAGCATATGCTCCGAAACAGATAAGAATAGCCAGGCTTTTCTTGGTTGAGTGGTTAGCTGGAGGAGCCAGGCTCCTTCTGTTCTGCAGTCATCCTAGGAAGATCCCAGCATCAGCGGGGCACAGCTACATGCTCTCTTGCTTCCCTCGCACTCATCAATGCCACTGCTTTCCCCTCAAAGGACACTATGCAAAGCCACCTCTGTGTGGGATGACATCAGAAAATGGGGAAGAGAACTGGGACAGGAAATGCTATTTTCATCCCTATTGCCAAGGGCAATAGCAGCTGACAACTCAAGTGGAGGGAGATAAAGATATCTTCACACAAGGGCCCGTCTTATAAGGACAAGGCTTTGCAAGTACCTCTGACCACCTCCCCCACTTCTCTCCAAAATAAAGGAAAATAAATTATCTTGAGCAAGTCTGGAAGATGGGCCCAAGTGACTGGTATCCTAGGCAACTCTGATAGCTTACTGGTATTCCAAGCAGTAACTAAAGCATTCTCTCTCCAAGGTCTGACGAAGGGAAGTCACTTGGCTGATGGATTATTTCGATGTATATTTACACTCCTTGCCTACAGGTTCAGGAGAGGGCTTTTTTTTTTTTTTTTTTTTTTGAGACGGAGTCTCGCTCTGTCGCCCCAGGCTGGAGTGCAGTGGCTGCGATCTTGGCTCACTGCAAGCTCCGCCTCCCGGGTTCACGCCATTCTCCTGCCTCGGCCTCCCAAGTAGCTGGGACTACAGGCACCCGCCACCACGCCCGGCTAATTTTTTTGTATTTTTAGTTGAGACGGGGTTTCACCGTGTTAGCCAGGATGGTCTTGATCTCCTGACCTCATGATCTGCCTGCCTCGGCCTCCCAAAGTGCTGGGATTACAGGCGTGAGCCACCGCTCCTGGCCAGGAGAGGGCTCTCTCTTAATGAAAAAGACCTTTCTGCATCTTCCAGATTTAGCCATTCACCCACAATTCATGTCTCGCTTATGGGGACCACCTGCCTCTCCTGGCATACAAAGCATAGCTGTTGTGAGGCTATTATGCACGTATGCTATCAATTTTTCAGCCTAAACACAGATGCCAGTTCTCACAGCCTGATAAGTATAAACCTCTTTGATGAAAAGGAGTAAAAGTCCTGTCCCCCACAAGCCCCCCGGCCTCAGAAAGAGGGATGCTTTCATGACCATTTCCTAGTCAGGATGGGATGCTTCAGAAGTCTACTGTCATAAAAAACCAGCATTTCCAGACCATGACAATGTAAAGGAACTAGTTTTCAAAGTGCTTTCACTTACTTTATTGTGTCCTCCCAGCAGCACCATGAATTAGGCAGAAGAGGATTATCACCTGCATTTGAAGATGGCACAACTAAAGCTCAGTGTTTTGTCAAGTGCCCAAGGTCACCCAGCTAGTAAGTCATAATAGGGGACAGAACTCGGACTGGCTTCAGCCAGTGCTTTCCCCTTTTCCTCTGAGCCAGCTTCAACTTCTGTCCACTGCAATTAAACGCAGCCTAAAGGGATTGAAGTGGGTTGGCCTTATGGCCCCCAAAGCTTCCATAACTTCTGTGGCTTGTGGCAGAATTTTTCACAGTAATTTTTACATGCCTAGACACACAACAAACCTCAGAAAAGAAACTGGCCCTATCAGCATAATTTCTGGGGAGACTGCTCTGTTGCAGTTACAGCAGGGCAGGGAGTTCTCGTTCCAGGGGTGGCGCCATCAATCTCTGGATGCCTAGAGATGCGTCCTTATCCTTATCGGCAAAGCGGCTGCAATTAGTAGACTAGGACTGCATGGTTGTGAGGTCAATTTTAAAAACTGAGATATAATTTACATACAATAAAATGCAGAGGGCTTAAGTGTACATATGTTTGTATGCATATACATAATAGACATAAACACATGCATCTCCCTGTAACCGCCACTCAAAACGGGACACTGAACATTTTCATCACCCTAGAAAATTACTTCATACTTCCTCTTCCTGTCAATCCTTTCAGTCCTTTAAAGGGGAATTTCTGACTTCTTATCATCATCCATGAGTTTTGCCTGTTTTTGTACTCCATATAAACGGAACTATACAATATGACTTTTTAGATCATTTGTTTTTCAATTTGGCTTCTTCTTATTTTTAAAATAAGCAGGTACAAAAGGCACAACAGAAAGAGCACTGGGCTAGGATAATTGTCCCTGGTGAAAAAAGTGACTGGATTTAGAGCCAAAGGCCTCAAGACCCAATCCTAGCTCTTTCATGATGTATACATGCCCCTTTAACCAAATCTCAGTTTTCTTCTATTGAGGGATGGATAATTGTCCCTGCTGAAAAAAGTGACTGGATTTAGAGCCAAAGGCCTCAGGACCCAATCCTAGGTCTTTCACGATGTATACATGCCCCTTTAACCAAATCTCAGTTTTCTTCTATTGAGGGATGGATAATTGTCCCTGCTGAAAAAAGTGACTGTATTTAGAGCCAAAGGCCTCAGGACCCAATCCTAGGTCTTTCACGATGTATACATGCCCCTTTAACCAAATCTCAGTTTTCTTCTATTGAAAGATGTGAGTGTAGGCCAGGTGCGGTGGCTCATGCTTGTAATCCCAGCACTTTGGGAGGCCGAGGCAGGCGGATCATGAGGCCAGGACATCGAGACCATCCTGGCTAACATGGTGAAACCCTGTCTCTACTAAAAATACAAAAAATTAGCCAGACACAGTGGCGGGCGCCTGTAGTCCCAGCTACTCGGGAGGCTGAGGCAGGAGAATGGCGTGAACCCGGGAGGCGGAGCTTGCAGTGAGCCGAGATAGAGATCGCACCACGGCAGTCCGGCCTGGGCGAAAGAGCAAGACTCCGTCTCGAAAAAAAAAAAAGAAAGAAAGAAAGACGTGAGTGTAGAACTAAAGCATGTCTCAGGTGACTTCTAAGTCTAAAAGTCCATGATTCTTAAGTGGAATTTTAAAAATCCAAGTGAGGATGCCCATTTTAAAGTCCTCACCAAATGAAGTTACACCCTTCCTTAATTTCGATGGTGCTGCTAAGAAACAAACCACATTATTTTTAACTCCTTTCTGAAAACCATCTTTGGAGATAATTAAGCCAAAGCTCATTATGTTATACCTATTATTTTCTCTTGACCCCATATGACATATCCTAGGTTGATGCTCTGTTTATTAAAGTTAGCACTGAATGATTCTCAGCTGTTCAAAAGTTCATATACATTTTAAAGCATGGAGATTTGCAACTACTGAACTATTTGAAAGATATTAATAAGCCCCCATTCTCAGTGACTCTGTCCTTCCCACAAAGCCCAGGCAGCCTATCTGAACTGAATGACACTCTCCACAACCCTGCCATAGCTGATGGGACCAAAGTGAATACCCAACTTTAGCTGAATTATTCCAATTCTTTCTCTTGAATTTAAAATACACAGATTGGCCAGGCGTGGTGACTCACGCCTGTAATCCCAGCACTTTGGGAGGCTGAGGCAGGTGGATCACCTGAGGTCAGGAGTTCAAGACCAGCCTGGCCAACATGGCGAAACCCCGTCTGTACTACAAATACAAAAATTAGCTGGGCGTGATGGCAGGCGCCTGTAATCCCAACTACTCAGGAGGCTGAGGCAGGGAGGATCGCTTGAACCTGGGAGGCAGAGGTTGCAGTGAGCCTAGATTGCACCATTACACTCCAGCCTGGGCGACAGAGTGACACTCCATCATAAATACATACATACATACATACAAACAAACAAAAGACACAGACTAAGGGAACTGGGTGATAACGGGCCCTGGAGAAGTAAGATCATAGTAAGCTTCAGAGCAGTTACCATGGCAAGCCAAAGATTCGCATAAGCCAAAAATACGGAGAATAAAAAACCAAGAGCCTTTCAGAGGAAGTGATTCTGCAAGAGGAATCCAGAAATATATAAATGAGCTGAGGCCAGAAATCAGAAAGATGAGAAAAGCCATTACCTGGTAACTTTCCCGATTACGTGGCTACACTTCCTATGCTTGGGGTACCTGAAAGTCCACTGTATCCTGCCAATAAAACTCCTATAAATTAAGCTAGTCTATGTATCTACTCATTGCAACTAATAAGCCTAAGACCAAAACTGCCCCCAAGTTCTGCAGGAACTCTAAAATGGAGGTCTGAGCAGACAGCAGCATCACTGGCATAAGATGATGGTTCTGGGTAAGCACTTAATTAACAATGGCTGAATTAATGACAGCAAAATCCACAGGTTTGCTCTTATCCACTAGGTAAGTCTGATTTGTTTGCAACAGATCAGTTATACAGTAACTTCGTAGTAATCGTATATCTAATAGTAACGTACAGGTAGCGTCTTTATTTTTATTTTATTTTTATTTATTTATTTTTTTGAGACGGAGTCTCGCTGTCTCCCAGGCTGGAGTGCAGTGGCGCGATCTCTGCTCACTGCAAGCTCCGCCCCCCGGGTTCTCGCCATTCTCCTGCCTCAGCCTCCTGAGTAGCTGGGACTACAGGCACCCGCCACCACGCCCGGCTAGTGTGTGTAGTGTGTGTGTGTGTGTGTGTGTGTGTGTGTGTGTGTGTGTATTTTTAGTAGAGATGGGGTTTCACTGTGTTCGCCAGGATGGTCTCGATCTGCTGACCTCGTGATCAGCCTGCCTTGGCCTCCCAAAGTGCTGGGATTACAGGCGTGAGCCACCGCGCCCAGCCTTTTTTTTTTTTTTTTTTTGAGATGGAGTCTCGCTGTCTCCCAGGCTGGAGTGCAATGGCGCGATCTCCACTCACTGCAACCTCCACCTCCTGGGTTCAAGCGATTCTCCTGCCTCAGCCTCCCGAGTAGCTGGGATTACAAGTGCTCGCCACCACACCCAGCTAATTTTTGTATTTTTAATAGAGACGGGGTTTCACCATGTTGGCCAGGCTGCTCTTGAACTCCTGACCTCAGGTGATCCACCTGCCTCAGCCTCCCAAAGTGCTGGGATTATAGGCGTGAGCCACTATGCCCAGCCCAGGTAGCCTCTTTATAGTTGATTGCTCACTTCTATAGCATTATTTTAGTTGATGCTCATAAGAACTCTGAAAAACATTCCTATCTTACAGGTAAGGCAACTGAAGTTCAGATGGATCGACAAACTTGTTCTCCATGTACCTCTTTCTACACCTCCCTCCCAAATGAAGGAAGAAAAAAAAAGAAGGGAGGGAAAAGAACAGTAAGTCAACCCAACACTTCAGAACTGGGTCTGAAGCCAAGGTCTTAGGACTGATCCCTCTACATAATACTTCCTTACATGATGACATTAGCTAACAATTACATAATGCTAGGGCACTATTTTAAAGGCTCTATATATACTAATTAATTTAATCTGCACAGCAACGCTGTGTGGTATGTTATTATCCCCACTTTAGAGACAAGAAAATAGAGGCACAGAAGAGTTAAGTAGCAGGCTCAGTGTCACACAGCTAGGAAGTGGCACAGCCAGAATTTGATCCCAGGTTATCTGGTATTGCTGGAAAGCCATGAGAAAGCAGGTGGCTCTGCACTTGACCCGCAGCAGGTGCTTTGTGGCAATTTCTGGTTTGTGTATCCGAAACCAAAGCACACTGAGGCTAAGAAACTTTCACAAGAACTCACCATTGTATCAAAAGATAGCACTCCACTGTCTACAGGTGGGCCACGGTCCCTTGTGTGCTATTTGGTCCTTTACAATCTAGCCAGACTCTTCCCTGGACTACCTGCTATTTCTATAAGGCCGTGTTCTTTCAATTCTTCTGTACCTTTGCATATTCTCTTCCTCCTACTGACTGTCAGAACAGCTCCTATTCAAGCATCAAAGCCTAGTTCAGATCAGATGCTACCTCTTCCCTGTACTAGTCTTAGCTTTCTCTAACTTTTCCTGGCAAAACTAAATAGGACAGGGGCCTCTGTGTTCTCACAGCATCCTGTTCATACTTCCATTAGCGAGTGTGATCTTGTCATACTCTATTATAGTTACATATTTACATATCTCCACTAGCTCCTCCTCCAGGACAGGTATAACTCTGCAGTGTCAACCTAGCACAACACTTGGTGTCCAGCGAAGGCTCAGTAAGCACCTGTGTCTGCTTAAACCCGATGACTCTGACTTCTTCCAAGCTGGAACCAAGCTGGCTCCAAATGGACAGGGATGGGCATGAATTGCGCAGGTTGTCTGGTGTTCCCTCTGTGTCCCAATACCCTTTCACTACAAAGTATTTTCATTGTTTAACAGTTTGTTTTGGCTGGGCGCAGTGGCTCACACCTGTAATCCCAATGCTTTGGGAGGTGAAGGCAGGAGGATCACTTCAGGCCAGGAGTTAGAGACCTGTTTCTACAAAAAAAATAAAACATTAGCTGGGCATGGTGGCATGTTCCTGTAGTCCCTAGCTACTTAGGAGGCTGAGGCAGGAGAGTCGCTTCAGCCCAGAAGTTCGAGGCAGCAGTGAACTATGATCATGTCACTGAACTCTAGCCTGGGTGACAGAGCAAGATCCTGTCTCTATTAAAAAATAAAAATTAAATTAAAGAACTGTTGTTTTCATATCAAACATTAGAATAATTCTTACTGAAAAATCAGGGTTAGCACACCTAACTCTAGTTAAAGAGGAAAACATCTCTCTGCTTTTCTCCCTATGGAATAGAAACATCAGGAGATAGGAGACTAGAAGTAATTCTATTCTCCAGATAAGATTCCCAGGATAAAATATATCCTTGTAGGGAACCCTCCCAGCACATGTTTGCTTACTCTCTTCATTTTCATTCCAGAAAGGAAGTGGAAATTAGGTAGAAGGAATTCAATAACATTGCAAAATTCTCAGGGTTATAAATGGCCTCTTGCTCCACCACTCAGCAGTACTGTAGCTCAACCGCAAACCACCAGAATAAAGGAGCTCTAGTTCCACATCAAGGCCCAGAGGGCCCCTTCCAGATTAAACAACTCTCCACCCTTCTCCCTTCCACCCCTCTTTAAGCATTACAGATATAAGGATGATTTGGAAAATCAAAATGCTACAAAACAGGAGAGGCACACACTGACCTGAAGACAATTTTACTGTAAGTCATTAAGAATAAAAGGCCAGTTTCTCAAATATAGAGCTGGGAAAAGTATAGAAAAATAGGAACATTAGTGTCTCCAATAGAGCAGTCTCTAAGTGGCTTCTAGAAGGTGTGCTTATAAAATCAGCACTGTTACAGAAGACCCCATGGAGCTTTATCAATCACCCGTACAGTGACTGCTGCTTCACGGAGCTGGAGTCTGACAGCAGGGTTGGAAAATCCATCTCAAGGAAGGAAGTGAAAGATGATCTCCTTCTATTAGTAAGGACCCCGCCAGCACGGGGTCTGAAGGAACGTGATTTCCTTCCAAATGCAAGAGGCAGCTTTATTTTTCCCCCAAACTTTTTTTTTCTTTTTGGTATGCAGTCTTAGAATGAAGGAAAAGGCTTTGGTTCCCTGCGTTAAATCATAGGTTGTGAGCTCTAAGCGGTCGTCTGGTGGCACTCCGCCCTGTGCCCAGCGGGCACTTACCGCACACTCAACAGTGGGGATAGCTGTGGTTTGGGGAACTGAGTGGGAGTGACTTTCGTGTCAGAGGCTGTGAGCAGCCGCTCTGCTCACACCGAGTGGGGCTGACCGTGGGCGCTGAGCAGAGGCAGAAGGGTACAACCCGGCTGTGCTTTTTGGAAGGGATCCCGGAGGTGGCATTCGTCACTGCACCTGCGGATCGGAACAAGGCTGGGCACCGCGCCAAGGACTCACTCCTGCTGTCTCTCTTCATGCTCACAGCAGCCCTGTGATGGAGGAGCACCCTGATCCCTTCGCTGCAGATGAGGACACAGGCTCACAGAGGGTCCGAGATCTTACAGCTGGTGAGGGGCAGAGCAAAACGCCAACCTATTCCTGTTGGATTCCAAAGTTTATACTTTAATCGTTCGTCTAGCAGATTCTTACAACAATCCTGGGAGGTGTGTATTCAGTTGTCACTTTGCAGATAAACTGATACTCAGCAAAGAGACTACATAGTGACTACCGCTTATAGGGCACTGCACAGTCTGCAAAGCAGTTTTACATGTTGTTTCATTTGATCCTCAAAACATCTTGGAATTAAAGATGATTTTTCTTAGTCCTATTTTACAGGTGAATAAAGTGAGGCTTGGGGAGGTTGAGGCTTAGCCATAGCTAACATTGCTAAAGCTCTGGCAGGAGTTACTCTTTCTCCTTCTCACTGGCTGGCCCAGCCTTGACCTTGTGATGATGATGATGACGTGCTAGGGGACAGAGCCACAGCACAGAAGGTGCCGAATGCTACCTGCCGACTTGGGACACTCACTTCATACTCTTATGTGAAAAAGAAATGATCTTCTCCGTTCTTTTTATTACTAATTTTGATAGCAGGGAGGGCTGTTAGAGCCAACCCTGCACTCACACAACACTGAGGAAGAAAGCCTTAAATTTTGTACCCTGGGTGCCTCACTTTGCTTCATTCTAGTCCTGACCCTGCTTAATACACATTTATCCAAGGAATGAGTCACTCACTTAAGCTTTACAAGACTGTGTAATTTCTTTTGCTGATATTGCCAGTGCAAGTTCTTTGATTGCAAGTCTTAAGAATCAATTCTGGCTAACTTTACCTGAAAAGGATTTTATTGGCAGGCTAGTGTCTAACTCACAGAGGTAACACGAAGCTGGAGAATCAGGCTTAGAAAAGGTTAGAAAGCGGAGATGTTTTGAGAGTTTAGGCAGGCAAGTGAATCAATTCCATGTTTTTTTTCCCTTTCTTGACCAGAGCTTTCTTTGATGAGTCAAAGTCCCTGGAGCAAGGGTTCAATTGGCTGAGCTCAGGTAACATGTCCACACTTTAGCTAAGGAGGGCAGGCACCTTGATGGACAGCTCCACCAAGACTGCACAGGAGTGCAAAGTTGCAGATCCCTCTTCCTCCACCTCAGCTGCTCCCAGTGGGCAACTAAGTTCAGGTGCCCTGTTTTCAGGCTGGGATCAAATAGGAGGAGTTCCTGCAGTGGAATGTCATGATTACACAAATGCAATTGTGTCTGGCATGTGGGAGAGCATAGCAGATATCCTGAGCTTTGTAACCTTATAGACCTTTGTGCTATTTACCAGCTGTTTGTCCCTGGGTAAGTTACTAGATCTCTCTGAGCCTGTCTCCTTGTGTGTACAATGGGGAGAATAACAGTACCAGCCTTAATGGATTGTTGTGAGAAGTGAGATCACTGCAAATGTACAACACTTAGCAGAATGTCTGCATATAAGTGCTCAATAAATTGTAAGTTATAAAATAGTAACATTATAGTAGGCCTTCCATAACTACTTATTGTGTGAGTGAATTATCTACCCCTCTCATTTCTCTAATCCATTTGACTTTTGTTTGTTTCTTGTTTTTGAGACAGAATCTCCCTCTGTCACTCAGGCTGGAATGCAGTGGCACGATCTTGGTTCACTGCAACCTTCGCCTCCCAGATTCAAGAGATTCTCCTGCCTCAGCCTCCCAAGTAGCTGGGACTACAGGTGTGCACCACAACACCCGGCTAATTTTTGTATTTTTAGTAGAGACAGAGTTTCACCATGTTGGCCAGGCAGGTCCCAAACTCCTGATCTCAAGTGATCTGCCTGCCTCAGCCTCCCAAAGTGCTGGGATTATACGCATAAGCCACCGCACCCGGCCAATATGGCCCATCTTTAGAGTGGTGGGGAGCTTAGAGATGAATTTTTTTTTTTTTTTGAGACAGAGTCTTGCTCTGTCGCCCAGGCTGGGGTGCAGTGGCGCGATCTCGGCTCACTGCAACCTCCGCCCCTCCAGGTTTAAGCAATTCTCTGCCTCAGCCTTTGGAGTACATGGGATTACAGGCGCGTGCCACCACACCTGGCTAATTTTTTTTTGTATTTTTAGTAGAGACAGGGTTTCGCCATCTTTGCCAGGCTGGTCTTGAACTCCTTACCTCGTGATCCACCCGCCTCGGCCTCCCAAAGTGCTGGGATTACAGGCGTAAGACACTGTGCCAGGCCACAAAATCTTTACCATGGTCTACAAGACCCTAGATGATCTCGCACTTTACTTCTCAGACTTAATCTATTCCTACTCTCCCCCAACTTACTGTTTGAGTCTCACATACTAATTTCTCATTCTGTGAACAGTTTCTTCTCATCTCTGTGCCTTTGGACTTGCTGTTCCCTCTCTTGGAATGCTTTTCCCCCAGCTCATCACATGGCTTCCATCTTCACTTTATTCAGGCCATGCTCTGTTATCTCCTCCTCCAAGTCTTTCCTGACAACTCTATCTCCTATCATCCAGGGCCTCCACCCCTCTTCTTCCCTTAACCTGCTCTAATCTTCTCCCTAGCATTGCATGTCATATTAACTTTTTTTGTTTCTAACTTCCACATTAGTTGTAAGCTAACTCCATGACAGCAGAGATGTTGACTGTCTTGTTCATAGCTGTATCTCTGCTACCTAGAACATATCTATTATAATACATGATATGGGGTCAATATCTTTTTTGACCATGTAAAATAATGGTTGCATCACTGAATAAAACAAAAATGACCTATGAGTAAATGGAAGGTCTCTATGAACTTGACTTATACTTAAATCATTCTAAACACTTACAGATTAATCATGGCCCTTCTCACATAGAATTATTGTCAAGTACAACCCCTGCCACCACACCAAAAGGCTATTTTAATTTTTTTGAGATGGAGCCTTGCTCTGCCGCCTAGGCTGAAGTGCAGTGGCGCTATCTTGGCTCACTGCAACTTCCCCCCCGCCCCACCAGATTCAACCAATTCTCCAGCCTCAGCCTCCCGAGTAGCTAGGATTGCAGACACCTGCTGCCACGCCCAGCTAATTCATTTATTTATTTATATTTTTATTAGAGACAGGGCTTCACCATGTTGGCCAGGCTCGTCTCGAACTCCTGACCTCAAGTGATCCGCCTACCTTGGCCTCCCAAAGTGCTGAGATTACAGGCGTGAGCCACCGCACCTGGCCACAGCCAGTTTTGTTTCATTTATATTCCCACTTCATTTATATACATTCCTTCTTCCTCTGAATTATTTTGAAGTGAAAACTATACATCATATCATTTTTTAATTACCTTATATGTATCTGTAGAAGACAAAGAATTTTTAAAAATATATTCACAATGCCATTAAATACCAAAAAATTAATACATTCTGAAAATAGCCGCAAATCCAGAGTTCACATTTTCTTGACTTTTTCATAAGTGATTTTTTCTAGGTTATCTATTTCAATCAGATACCTGTTTGCTCATATTTACATTCCTAACTGAACAATGTCTAAACTTAAACTGACATAAAACACAGACGATCTTATGACCAAATGCTTAGTGCAAGAAAAAACTTCAAATTGCAAGAGGAGTCCCTCCAAATATAGAAAAGACCAGTATTTTAAGAGATATGTTAACTAAAATGTGGCAATGTAAGAAGCAGAGCAGGAAGAACCTTTAAGTCTGAAACTTGCAAGTCAATTTCATAGTCAGTTTCCCTGGTCCTTCCACAACAACCTCTGGCATACCTACAATGAAGGTAACAATAGTAGCTATTTCAGAGCAGGAAAAGGCTTAGAGCAGTGCTAGAAGAGGGTTGAGGCTATATAAAGTTTAGCTATTTGTATATTGTAACAAACCTACAACTTTTTTTTTTTAAGTCAATAATAGAGTTCTTTGGGAAGAGTAGCAGCCTCCTGTCGGGGAGCACCTGCAGTTCCACTAAGTGACCACTGGTGTCCGCTAACCTTTGCCTCTACTTCTCTCAGTAATACACTGTCCAGCTGCTCCTTGATTTAACAATTTTATATACTTTCTTTTTTTTTTTTTCCTTTCCCTTTTCCTGAGACACAGTCCCGCTCTGTCCTCCAGTCTGGACTACAGCAGGGCCATCATGGCTCACTGCCACCTCCACCCCCCACCACACCCCCCCACACCCCCCGGGCTCAAGCAATCCTCCTGCATCAGCCTTTGGAGTAGCTGGGACTACCCGCGGGGCCCACCACGCCCGGCTAATCTTTGTGGCTTTTGTTTTGTTTTTCCGTTAAGAGACCGGGTTTCGGGCCAGGCGCAGTGACTCACGACTGCAATTCCAGCAGCCCGGGAGGCCGAGGCCGGCGGATCACCCGAGGTGAGGAGCTGGAGACCAGCCCGACCAACATGGAGAAACCGCATCTCTACCAAAAAAATAAAAAATAAAAAACTAACCGGGCATGGTGGCTGACGCCCGCAATCCCAGCCACTCAGGAGGCTGAGGCAGAAGAATCACCCAAACCTGGGAGGCGGAGGCCTAGGCGAGCCGAGACCGCGCCACTGCCCTCCAACCTGGGCAAAGGAGCGAGACTCCGCTTCAAGAAAAAAAAAAGAGATCAGGTTCCACCATATTGCCCAGGCAGGTCTGGAACTCCTAGGCTCAAGCGATCTGCCGCACTCGGCCGTCCAAAGTCCTGGGATCAAAAGCGTGAGCCACCACTCCGGGCCGATCTATTCCTTTCTGATTAATAAATTGGGCCGGGCGCGGTGGCTCAAACCTGCAATCCCAGCACCCCGGGAGGCCGAGGCGGTTGGGTAACGTGAAGTCGGGAGTTTGAGACCATCCTGACCAATATGGAGAAACCTCGTCTGGACCAAAAAAAAAAAAAAAAAATTAGCCGGGTATGGTGGTTCATGCCTGGAATCCCGGCCACTCGGGAGGCTGAGGCATGAGGACCACCCAAACCCGGGAGGCGGAGGCCGCGGGGAGCCGAGACTGCGCCACTGCACTCCAGCCTGGGCAACAAGAGCGAAACTCCCTCTCAAAAAAAACAAGCAAAAAAGAGACCTGGTTTCACCATGTTGCCCAGGCCGGTCTGAACTCCTAGGCTCAAGTGATCTGCCACGCTCAGCCATCCCAAGTCCTGAGATCAAAAGCGTGAGCCACCAAGCCAGGCCGATCACGCCTGTAATCCCAGCACTTTGGGAGGCTGAGGTGGGTGGATCAGCTGAGTTCAGGAGTTCGAGACCAGCCTGGCCAATATGATGAAACCCCGTCTCTACCAAAAATACAAAAAAATCAGCCGAGTGTGTGGCGGGCGCCTGTAATCCCAGCTACTCAGAAGGCTGAGGCAGGAGAATCGGTTGAACCTTGCAGGTGGAGGTTGCAGTGAGCCGGGATAGCGCAACTGCACTCCAGCCTGGGTGACAGAGACTCCGTCTCGAAAAAAAATAATAAAAATAATAAATTGGGCCGTGCGCCCTGGCTCATGCCTGCAATCGCAGCACCCCCGGAGGCCGAGGAGGGCGGGTAACCTGAGGTCGGGAGTTTGAGACCAGCCTGACCAACAGGGAGAAACCCCCGTCTGTACCAAAAAATAAATAAATAAATAAATAAATCAGCCGGGCATGGTAGCTCATGCGTGCAATCCCAGCCACTTGGAGGCTGAGGCAGGAGAACCAACTAAACCCGGAGGCAGAGGCCTAGCGAACCGAGACCTTGCCACCGCTGTCCAGCCTGGGCAACAAGAGCGAAACTCCGCCCCCCACCCAAAAAAAAAAAGACCAGGTTTCACCATGTTGCCCAGGAGGGTCTGGAACTCCTAGGCTCAAGAGATCCGCCGTGCTCGGCCATCCAAAGTCCTAGGATCACAAACGTGAGCCACCACGCCAGGCTGATCTATTCCTTTCTGATTAATAAATTGGGCCAGGCGCGGTGGCTCACGCCTGCAATCTCAGCATCCCTGGAGGCTGAGGCGGGCAGTTAACCTGAGGTCGGCAGTTTGAGACCAGCCTAACCAACATGGAGAAACCCCATCTGTACCAAAAAGAAAAAAAAAAAATGAGCTGGGCATTGTGGCTCACGCCTGCAATCCCAGCCACTAGGGAGGCTGAGGCTGGAGAACCACCCAAACCCGGAGGCGGAGGCCACGGGGAGCCAAGACCACGCCACTGCTCTCCAGCTGGGCTAGAAGAACGAAATTCCGCCTCAAAAAAGAAAAAAATTAATAATAATAATAATAAATAGACCAGGTTTCACCATGTTGTCCAGGCCGGTCTGGAACTCCTAGGCTCATGGGATCTGCCGGGCTTGGCCGTTGAATGTCCTGGGATCACAAGCGTGAGCCACCACGCCAGGCCTATCTATTCCTTTCTGATAAATAAATTGGGCCGGGCGCGGTGTCTCAGGCTTGCAATTCTGTAGCGGGATTTTTAAGGAATTAGAGAGACTGATGGGGTTTAGGAGGATATTATTTAGGTGCACTGGCCCAGTCAGCTTAACATTTAAAGCATTGAGTTCTGGAACCAAGGGCTATCTTTTAAGCATTTTGTGGGGCGGGGGTAGATCTGTGCAGGGGGAAGCATAATACAGAAGCGAGAAACAAAGATAATTAATTGAAATATGCATTATATTATTTTTTACTATTTAAGGAAAAATACGTTTTGTTGAGTTTGTTTAGTGACCTTGCAATTGCACAGTTAGGGAATTAGCCGGGCACGATGGCTCACGCCTGCAATCCCAGCCACTCGGGAGGCCGAGGCGGGCAGATAACCTGAGGTCGGGAGTTTGAGACCAGCCTGAGGAACATGGAGAAACCCCATCTCCACCAAAAAAAAAAAAAAAAAAAAAAATGACCCGGGCATGATGGCTCAAGTGTGCAATCCCAGCCACTCGGGAGGCTGTGGCAGGAGAACCAACCAAACCTGGGAGGCGGAGGCCCGGCGAGCCGAGACTGCGCCACTGCACTCCACCCTGGGCAACAAGAGTGAATCTCCGTCTCAAAACAAACAAACAAAAAAAAACAAGCCGGGCGCGGTGGCTCACGCCTGTAATCCCAGCATTTTGAGAGGCTGAGGCTGGCGGATCACGAGGTCAGGAGATCGAGACCATGCTGGCTAACACGGTGAAACCCCGACTCTACTAAAAAAAATACAAAAAAATTAGGCGTAGTGGCGGGCGCCTGTAGTCCCAGCTTCTCGGGAGGCTGAGGCAGGAGAATGGCGTGAACCCGGGAGGCGGAGCTTGCAGTGAGCTGAGATCGTGCCACTGCATTCCAGCCTGGGCAAGAGAGCAAGACGCTGTCTCAAAAAAAAAAAAAAAAAAAAAGAGAGACCAGGTTTCACCGCGTTGCCCAGGCGGATCTGGAACTCCTGGCTCAAACGATCCGCCGCGCTCGGCCGTCCAAATTCTTGGGATCACAAGCGTGAGCCACTACGCCAGGCCGATCTATTCCTTTCTGATTAATAAATTGGGCCGGGAGCGGTGGCTCACACCTGCAATCCCAGCACCCCGGGAGACCAAGGCTGGCGGGTAACCTGAGGTCGGGAGTCTGAGACCAGCCTGACAAACATGGAGAAACCTCGTCTGTACCAACAAAGAACAAAAACAAAAAATACAAAAAAACTACAAAATGAGCCGGGCATTGTGGCTCACGCGTGCAATCCCAGCCACTCCAGAGGCTGAGACTGGAGAACCACCCAAACCCAGAGGCGGAGGCCGCTGGGAGCTGAGACCGGGCCACTGCACTCCAAGCCGGGCAACAAGAGCGAAACTCCACCTCGAAAAAAAAAAGACCGGGTTTCACCATGTTGCCCAGGCCAGTCTGGAACACCTAGGCTCATGAGATCCGCGCGCCCTCGGCCGTCCGAAGTCCTGGGATCACAAGCGTGAGCCACCGTGCCAGGCCGATCTATTCCTTTCCGATTAATAAAGTGGGCCAGGCGTGGTGGATCACCCCTGCAATCCCAGCACCCCGGTGGCTCACGCCTGCAACCCGGGAGGCCGAGGCAGGCAGATAACCTGAGGTCAGGAGTTTGAGACCAGCCTAACCAACAGGGAGAAACCCGTCTGTACCAAAAAATAAAAATTAAAAATATAAAAAAATAAAAAACAAATGAGCCGGGCATGGTGGCTCATGCCTGCAATCCCTGCCACTCCGGAGGCTGAGGGAAAACCACCCAAAATTGGGAGGCGGAGGCCACAGCCAGCAAAAACCATGCCACTGCGCTCCAGCCTGGGCAACAAGAGCGAAACTCCCAGTCTCAAAAAAATTAAAAAGAGACCGGGTTTCACCATGTTGCCCAGGCTGGTCTGGAACTCCTAGGCTCAAGCAATCTTCTGTGCTCAAGCGATCCTCCGCGCTCGGCCGTCCAAAGTCCTGGGATCAAAAGTGTGAGCCACCATGCCAGACCCATCACTCCTGTAATCCCAGCACTTTGGGAGGCCAAGGCAGGTGGACCACCTGAGGTCAGGAGTTTGTGAAGGCTCATCTCTACTAAAAATACAAAAATTAGCCAGGTGTGGTGTACTGTGCCTGTAGTCCCAGCTACTCAGGAGGCTGAGGCAGGGGAATCACTTGAACCCAGGAAGCAGAGGTTGCAGTGAGCCGGGATCCCCTGACTGCACTCCAGCCTGGGTAGCAGAGCTCTGTCTCAATAATAATAATAATAATAATAATAGTAATAATTGTGATTGTATTTAGAAATTATTGAAATAAATTTTTTAGCTACATCAGATCAATTTGGGTTCCTTCTTAAAACGGCCATTTCATCTTTTGGTTCCTGTATTATTTTATTGTATTCCTTAAATTCCTTGGGTTGGGTTTCAACTTTCTCTTGAATCTCGATAATCCTCATTCCTATTCCTATTCTGAATTGTGTGTCTGTCATTTCAGCCATTTCAGCTTGGTTAAGAATATTGCTGGGGAACTAGTGCAGTCATTTGGAGGTAGGAAGACACTCTGGCTTTTTGAATTACCATAGTTTTTACGCTGATTCTTTCCCTTATGTGTGGGGCTGATGTTCCTTTAATCTTTGAAGTTATTTCCTTTGGATGGGTTTTTTTGCTTGTATATGTGATGCCCTTTGGGGTTTGATTGTGATGTAAGGTGGGTTCATTTGACTGATTTTGTTTCTGGATCATTTTAGGGGGGCTAAGGCTTAGCTCAGCACTCCTGGGCTAACTGCTCTAACTCTGGGGCACTGGTTTTGGGCTCCCAGCTTTCTTCTCTGGCCCCTTGATTTAGGAATTTGCCGGACTAGAGGGGCCAAGGTGTTTCTGGTCCACTGACCCCCAACACTCCAATGGGGGGTGTCAGCCAAAGTGTTTCATTGGGGCAATGGCAGTGGGATTTATGCTCACTCATGCATGTCAGCAGCTGCAGCAGCACAGTGGGGTGCATGCACATTGGCTGGGGAGGGGCACTGGTGAGAGCAGGGCAGCAGCATTCCTGCACATGCTCTCACACTGGCAGCAGCATGGCAGGGACAGGGAACTTGTGGGGGCAGGGTTGCTGGTGTCCACGTGTGCATTCATACCAGCAACAGCAGTGGCATGATGCGGGCAGGATTGCCAGTGTCCGTGCATGCGTTTGCACTGGTGATTGCAGTGGTGTGGAAGGGGCAGGGTTGTCAGTGTCTGTGCACATGTTCATACTGGCACTGGTGACATGGCAGAGTGACCACACATCCGCAGGGGTGGAGAGCAGCAGGGTGCACTCATGCCAGTAGCAGTGGCATGGTGTAATACCTGCACACACATGCACCAGCATGGTAGGCAAGATCTGCCCATGCGAGTGTGCTGACAAAGCAGTGGGGGAAGAGGCCGTGGGTACACTGGTGTGCATCAGCAGAGGTCAGTCTGCTGGAGCTTCCAAAAGGTTAGGTGCAGTCCACCAGCAAGGGAGCTGTGATGAGGGTCCCTGGGAAGCACGCTGATTGGGCATCCAAGGCTGTGCTGCAAGCAGGCATGGCCAGGCTGGGACCTCAGGAGAGGCCAGCAGACAAGGGGGCACTCAGATCAGACTGAGCAAGACCAAGGGCAAGACCATCCTGCTCTGTCCAGGTCCAACAGTCATGCTAAGGCTAAAATCTCCCAGAGGAGCATGGCGAACCTTGGGGGATGGATGTCACTGGCCATGCTCCACTGTAGCCATTCCCATGCCAAAACCCTCTGGGCTCTGCACAGGCTGGAGTCCTGCCCCTACTACCTGTCTAGGCAGCTCTTCCTGTCAGCTCAGATGTCTATGGGGGTTGTGGGGTCTCCTGCAGCTAGGATTCTGGAGGTTCATGGTGAGAGTAGGCCACTCCTCACCTGTTCAGTTTACTCCTTCCCCAGGAGATGCTAGGAGCAAGCAACAAGTCCTGGTGCTCAGAAACCCCGTGTAGGGCTCCCAGCATACTCCCCCTTCAGTCCAGCATCTGTGTCCTCCCTCTGTCCACTCTCAACACTTTTGTTCTGAAGAGCTGCTCAGAGTGTGCCAGTCTCTCTCAATATCCCAGTATCTTTGTGGGAGAATATTCCTCCTGGCTGCATCTACTCAGCCATCTTGGCTCCTCCTCAAGAATTTCATAATACAATCAAAAGCATTAGCAGCAGAATAGGCCAAGCTAAAGAAAGAATTACAGAGCATGATATGGTTTGGATCTGTGTCCTTGAATCTCATGTTGAATCGTAATCCCTAATGTTGGAGGTGGGTCCTGATGGGAAGGTGATTTGATCATGGGAGCACTTTCTCATGAATGGTTTAGCACCATCTATCTTGGTACTGTGCTCTCAATAGTAAGTGAATTCTCATAAACTCTGGTTAAAAGTGTATAGCACCGCTCCCCTCACTGTCTCTTGCTCCTACTCTGGCCATGTGAAGTACATGCTCTACCTCTGCCTTCCGCCATGAATGGAAGCTTCCTGAGGGCTTCCCAGAAGCCAAGCAGATGCCAGCATCATGCTTCCTGTACAGCCTGTGGAACTGTGAGCCAATTAAACCTCTTTTCTTCATAAATTACCCAGTCTCAGATATTTCTTTATAGCAATGCATGAATGGACTAATACAGAAAATTGATACCTAGAAGTGGAACATTGCTACAAAGATACCTGAAAATGTGGAAGCAGCTCTGGAACTGGGTAATGGGCAGAGGTTAGGAGAGTGTGGAGGGCACAGAAGAAGAGAGGAAGATGAGGGAAAGTTTGGAACTTCCTAGAGACTGGTTGAATGGTTGTGACCAAAATGCTCATAATGATATGGACAGTGAAGTCCAGTCTGATGAGGTCTCAGATGGAAATGAGGAAGTTATTGGGAAATGGAGCAAAGGTCACACTTGTGACACCATAGCAAAGAACATGACTGCATTGTGTCCATACCCCAAGGATTCATGGAAGGACAAACAAGAGTGATGACCTAGGGTATCTGTCGAAAGAAATTTTTAAGCAGCAAAGTGTTCAAGAAGTGGCATGGCTGGGTTTTTTTGTTTGTTTGTTTTTTGTTTTGTTTTGTTTTGTTTTGGGGGGGGGGTTGAGACAGAGTCTCACTCTGTCACCCAGGCTGGAATGCAGTGACACCATTTCAGCTCCCTGCAACCTCCGCCTCCTGGATTCAAGTGATTCTCTGACCTTAGCCTCCTGAGTAGCTGGGACTGCAGGTGCACATCACCAGGCCTGGCTAATTTTTGTATTTTTAGTAGTGATGAGTTTTCGCTATGTTGGCCAGGCTGGCCTTGAACTCCTGGCCTCAAGTGATCTGCCCACCTTGGCCTCCCAAAGTGCTGGGATTACAGGCATGAGCCACTGTGCCCAGTCAGCAGGGCTGCTTTTTAACAGCCTATGACCAGATTTGACAGTAAGAGAATGACTTAAAGGTGGAATTTATAATTAAAAAGGAAATAAACCATTAAAATTTGGAAAATTTCCAGCCTTGCTATGTGGTAGGAAAGGAAAGAGCATTTTCAGACAAGGAATTCAAGGGGGCAGTGGAGCAATCTCTTGCTAGAGACATAGGCAGAGACAAAAGGGAGCCAGGTGCTAATAGTCAAGACAATGCAGGAAAGCCCTAGAGGCATTTTAGAAATCTTCAAGGACACCTCTCTCATCACAGGCCCAGAGGTCTAGGGGGACAGTATGTTTTTGGGTGCCAGGCCCCAGGTGCCACAGCTTTGTGGCACCTTGGAATGCTGCTCCCATATCCAAGCCATTCTGGCTGTAGCCATAGCCCAAATAGCCTCAAGTACAGCTTGGGCTGCTGCTCCAAAGGGTGAAAGTCATAAGCCTTGGCAGTTTCCACATGTGTTAAGTCTGCAAAATGCAAGTGTGGGGGAGGCTTGGAAGCTTCCACCTAGGTGTCAGAGGATGTGCCAGGAATCCAGGGTGCCCAGGCAGAAGGCTGCTGCAGGGCAGAACCCCCAAAGAGAGACTCTACTCAGGCAATCCTGAGTGGATAGTGCGGTTGAGGGCCCCACAAAAAAAAGCCTATATTAGGGCAATGGCTAATGGAGCTGTGGGAACAGGGATGCCACCTTCCAGACCCAAGAACAGTAGAGCCACCAGCAGTGTGCACCCTCAGCCTGGAAAAGCCAAAGCCATTGAACTCCAACCTGTGAGAGTAGCCAGGTGGGCTGCACCCAGCAAAGCCATGGGGGTGGGAATGCCCAAGGCCTTGGGGGGACCACCTCTTGCACCATGGTGCCCAGGATACAGTACATGGACCCAAATATTATTTTGGAGCTTAAAGGTTTAATGCCTTCGCCAATAGGTTTCAGTCTTGCATGGCCAATTTCAGTCTTGCAATAACCCTTTCTTTTGGCCAATTTCTCACTTTTGAAATAAGAACGCTTACCCAGTATATGTCTTACCATTCTATCTTAAAAGCAAACAACTTGTTTTTAGTTGTACAGGCTTACAGGTGTAAAAACTTGACCTTGAGTCTCAAATCAGACTTTAGACTTTGGACTTATGAGTTGATGATTGGAACAAGTTAAGCCTTTGGGGACTATTAGGAAAGGGTGATTATATTTTGCAATGTGAGAAGTACATATGATTTGGACGGTCTGAGGCGAAATGATAAAGTTTGGATATTCATCCCCTCCAAATATCATGTTGAAATTTGTACCCAATGTGGAGGTGGGACCTAATAGGAGGTATTTGTGTCATGAGGACAAACCCCTCATGAATGTTTGATGCCATCCTCTCTGTAATGAGTGAATTCTCACTCTTAATTCCTATGAGAACTGAATGTTTAAAAGAGCCTGGAACTCCCCTCCTTGCTCTCTTGCTTCTGCGGTCTCATCATGTGATTCTGCACACACGGCACCCCTTCACCTTCCACCAGGGGTGAAAGCCCCCCAGGAGACTCACCAGATGCAGATGCAGGGGACTTGCTTCTCAGGCAAGCTGCACAACTGTAAGCTAAATAAACCTCTTTTCTTTATCAATTACCCAGCCTCAGGTATTCCTTTAGAGCAAAACAAAAACAGACTCAGATAGAAAATACATAAAAAGAAATTAAGAACAAATGTGAGAAATTTCATTCCAATAGCATGTTGTCAACACTAGATTACAGAGTGCTCTACGTGTTAACCATTTCCATTCTCTGAAAGTAATGAGCACATGATGCACCTCTGAAAAAAATTGTTTAGATTTACCTTTTTTTCTTTTTTTTTTTGAGATGAGTCTCACTCAGTTGTCCAGGCTGGACTGCAGTGGTGCAATCTCAGCTCACTGCAGCCTCCACTTCCTGGGTTCAAGCAATTCTCCTTCCTCACCCTCCAGAGTAGCTGGGACTACAGGTATGCACCACCACACCCAGCTACTTTTTGTATTTTTAGTAGAGACAGAGTTTCACCATGTTGGCCAGGCTGGTCTCGAACTCCTTGCCTCAAGCGATCCATCCACCTCAGCCTTCCAAAGTGCTGTAATTACTGGCATGAGCCACCGTGCCTGGCCTAGATTTACCTTTTAAATGTGCTTATGTAAATACCTCATAATAACCTCTTTGGAACAATAATAAGAAATATCATTCAAGAGCATGTTGTCAACACTAAATTTCAGAATTCTCTGAAATAATAATAAATAATTCCACTCTCTGAAACAAAAAAAAAAACATATGGTGCATCTCTAAAGAAACTTGTTTCGATTTACCTTAAATATTTTATGTAAACACTTTATAATAAGCCATAGGAACAAATGTAAGAATTATCATCAATAGCATGTTAATCAACAGTAGATCACAGAGTTCTTTAAGTGCTAAACATTCTCATTCTCTGAAAGAAAACAGCACATGATGTACTTCGCCAAAGCTTGCTTAGATTTACCTTTTTTTGTTTTGTTTTTGTTTTTTGTTTGTTTTTTGAGACATAGTCTCGCTCTGTCACCCAGGCTTGAGTGCAGTGGTGCAATCGTGGCTCACTGCAGCCTCAACCTCCTGGGCTCAGGTGATCCTCTCACCTCAGCCTCCTGAATAGCTGGAATTACAGGCACATGCCACCATGCCTGGATAATTTTTTTGCATTTTTTGTAGAGGTGGGATTTTGCCATGTTGTCCATGTTTGAACTCCTGGGCTCAAGCAGTCCACCCACCTTGGCCTCCCAATGTGCTGGGATTACAGGCATGAGCCACCATGCCCAGCCAGACTTACCTTTTAAACACGCCTTGTAATACCTCATAATAAATCCTTAGGAACAAACGTAAAAAAGAAAATCATTCATTAGCATGTTGTCAAAAAGAGACTTTTAAATTTTATATGTTATAAACAATTCCATTCTCTGAAACAAAACAGCACATGACGCATCTCTGAAGAAGCTTGCTTATATTTATATTTTAAGTATTTATATGTAAACACCTCATAATAACTCCTTTGGAACAAATAAGAAATATTATTTAACAGCATGTTATCAAAATTAAATTTCAGGCCAGGCGCGGTGGCTCAGGCCTGTAATCCCAGCACTTTGGGAGACCGAGGAAGGTGGATCACTTGATCCCAGGAGTTCAAGACTAGCCTGGGCAATGTAGCAAGACCTCAACTCTACTAAAAATAAAAAATAAAATATAAAAACATTAGCCCAATGTGGTGGTACATGTCTATGATCCCAGCTACATGGGAGGCTGAGCTGGGAGCCTGGGAGGCAGGCGCTACAGTAAGCCAAGATAGTGCCACTGTAATTCAGTCTGGGTGACAGAGTAAGACTTTGCCAAAAAAAAAAAAAAAAAACCACTAAATTTCAGATATCTCTTTGTGATAAATAGTTCATTTCCTGAAAGAAACCAGCCCATGGTGCCTTTCTGCCATATACCTTTTAAATGTGTATATGTTAACACCTCATTATAAGCCCTCAGGAAAAGTATTTCAGTGTAAGAAATATCTTTCAATAGAATGTTGCCAACACTACATTACAGAGTTCTCTATGTAATAAAGACTTTCATATTCTGAAAAAAAAATAGCATGTAATGCATCCCTAAATAAGTTTACTTAGATTTACCTTTTAAACATGTATATGTAAATTTGTAATAACTCATTTGGAACAAAGATAAGAAATATCATTCAGTAGCATGTTATTAACACTATATTTAAGAGCTCTTTGGCTGGGCGCAGTGGCTGTAATCCCAGCACTTTGGGAGGCTGAAGTAAGCAGATCACTTGAGGTCAGGAGTTCGAGACCAGCTTGGCCTACATGGTGAAGCCCCATCTCTATTAAAAATATAAAAATTAGCCGGGCATGGTGGTGCGTGCCTGTAATCCCAGCTACTCAGGAGGCTGAGGCAGGAGAATCACTTGAATCCGGGGGGCAGAGGTTGCAGTGAGCCGAGATCGCGCCATTGCACTCCAGCCTGGGTGACAGGATGAGACACCGTCTCAGAAAAAAAAAAGAGTTTTTTATATGTTAATCAATTTAATTCTCTGAACAAAAGCAGCATAATGCATTTTTGGAGAAACTCATTTATATTTCCCTTTAAACAAGTATATGTAAATACCTCCCAGTAACTTCTGTGGAGCAAGGATCACAAACACCATAAAATAGCATGTTGTCAACACTAGATTCCCAGTTCTCTGTGTAATAAATACTTCTCTGGGGGAAAAAATAAATTATGCATCTTTGAAGAAGCTTCCTTAGATTTAGCTTTTAAATGCACATATGTAAACACCTCACAATAACATTTTCAGAATAATGATAATATCATTCAAGAACATGTTGTTGAGACTACATTTCAGAGTTGTCCATGTAATACCAAATCTGTTCTCTAAAACAAAACAGGGCACAATACATCTCTGATGAAGTTTGCTTAGCTTACCGTTTAAACATGTATACATAAACACCACTTAATAAGCCTGTAGCAACTCAAATGAGAAATATTATTCAATAACATGTTTCAACACTAGACTACATAGTCTTTATGTGTTAAGCAATTCCATTCTCTGATAGAAAACACCATAGGATGCATCTCTTAAGCAGCTTGGTTAAATTTACATTTTAAATGAGTATATGTAAATACCTTACAATAACCTCTTATTGTAGAAACAAAGGTGTGATATATCACTCAATAGCATGTTGTTAACACTAGATTACAGAGTTTTTAGCAATTAAGCACTTTCATTCTCTGAAAGAAAACTGCAAATGAGCAGCTCTGAAGAAGGCTGCTTAGATTTGCCTCCCAAACAAGCGTTTGTAATCATTTCATTATAAGATTTAGGGAACAAATACTAGAAATATCATTCAATAGCATGTTCCCAACACTAGGTTACAGAGTTCTGTATTTGTTAAACAGTTCCAATTTCTGAAAGAAAACAGCACAAAATGCCTCTCTAAAGAAGCTTGTGAAGATTTACCTCTTAACCGTGTTTATGTAAACCCATCATCATAAGCCATTGTGAACAAAGGTAAGAACTATCATTCAATAGCATTTTCTCCACACTAGATTACAGAATTCTGTATTTGTTAAACAGTTCCAATTTCTGAAAGAATATACCACATAATCCATCTCTCTTTTTTTTTTTTTTTTTTTTTTTTTGAGATGTAGTCTCACTCTGTTGCCCAGGCTGGAGTGCAGTGGCGTGATCTCTGCTCACTGCAAGCTCCGCCTCCCAGGTTCACGCCATTCTCCTGCCTCAGCCTCCTGAGTAGCTGCGACTACAGGCGCCCGCCACCACGCCCGGCTAATTTTTTTGTATTTTTAGTAGAGACAGGGTTTCACCGTGTTAGCCAGGATGGTCTCGATCTCCTGACCTTGTGATCCACCCGCCTTGGCCTCCCAAAGTGCTGGGATTACAGGCGTGAGCCACCACACCCGGCCCACATAATCCATCTCTAAAGAAGCTTGCTTACATTTACCTTTTAAACAAGTATATGTAAAGTTGGCATAACAAGCTCTTATGAACAAAAGTAAGATAGTGTTGCTATTGAACAATGTTTAACAATATTAAATTCTCAACATTAGATTGGAGTTCTCTGTTAAAAGTTCCATTTTCTGAAAGAAAACAGCAAATAATGCATTTCTGAAGAAGCTTGCTTAGAGGAGGGAGGTGGAACCAGGTGGTAAATGGAACCCTCCAGTTGCTATCTCCCCAACAGGGACACCAAATTCAACAACTATCTACCCAAGAAAGCAACTTCGTAAGAATCAAAAAATTAAATGAGTGACAACAGTACCTGGTTTGAACATAATATAACATAAAGGCACATTGAAGAGGGTAGGAAGGACAATGTTACATTGCCTACACCACTACCACCACCAACAACCCCAGGCATCACAGTATGGAGAAACAATCTGTGTGTTTGTGGGAGACAGAGTGAAATGAGCATGGAACTTCACATTGGAAATCAGTGCTTTTCTGTCGCAATGGAGCACAACACTGGACAGAAACCCCTGATGCCCACAGAGGGAACACTTAAACCAGCCCCAGGCCAGAGAGGAATCCTCCACTCCAATAGGAGGAACCCAAGTCCCAGCTTGCTTCACCACAGCCTGGCTAAAATGGCCTGGGTACTGAGTAAATTTGAGTGACTGCCAGCCCACAGTGACTGCATCCTTGGCCAAGCAGATGTGCTGCACTCATTTCAGAGGCTGTGAACTTGTGGTGTGACCCAGCATAACACCAGCTACAGCAGCCATGGGAATGCTCGCATAACCCCTTGCCCAACTGCAGGCAGTTTGTCATGGAGAGACTCCTTCATCTTGGGGGAAGGAGAGGGAAGAGTAAAGAAGACTGTGCCTTCCAAGTGGGTACTGACAGAGCAGGAGCATTGCCATCTTGGACAAGCTCCTGATTCTAATTTTTATTCTGATTTCTACCTTGGTAAAAAACTGCCTCAGTCCAAAGGGCATCAGCCTAATGGCTAAGGTCAGCACGACCATAAACCACAAATAACATCTCCAACCAGAAACATTCCAAACTCCTCCCCGACCAGAGACATGCTAGCCCCAAGATAACCCCCCTCCGCCAGGAAGATGCCAGCCTCGAGATAACCCCCCTCTGGCCGGAAAGATGTCTGCCCCAAGATAATTTGATGAGGAATTCAAATAACTGTCTTGAGGAAGCTCAATGAATTTCAAGATAACACAAAGAAGAAACTTAGAATTCTATCAAAAAAAGAGAAATGAAAATAATTTTTAAAAAATCAAATTCCAGAGACAAGTTTTTTTGTTTGTTGTTTTGTTGTTGTTGTTGTTGTTTTCTTTGAGACAGAGTCCCACTCTGTCACCCAGGCCGGAGTGCAGTGGTATGATCCCAGAGACTAAAAATTCAATTAGCAAACTGAAAAATGCATCAGAATGCCTCCAGAATTGATCAAGCAAAGGAATAAATTATTGAGCTCAAAGATAGGCTATTTGAAAATACACAGAGCAGAAAATAAAAGAATAAAGTATGCTTACTCTTATATTTGCCCTTTTAAGGCTATCTAGAAAACAGCCTTAAAAGGACAAATATAAGAGTTATTAACCTTAAAGAGGATGGAGAAAGAGATTTGGGTAGAAGGTTTATTCAGGCAAATAACATGTAACTTTTCAAACCTAGAAAAAGATAGTAATATCCACATAGAAGAAGGTTAAAAAAAAAAAGCACACACCAAAAAGATTCAAGCTAAATAAGACTCCCTCAAGGCCTATAATAATCAAACTCTCAAAGGTCAAGGACAAAAAAAGGATCCTAAAAACAGTAACAGAAAGAAGCAAATAACATATAAAGAAGCTCCAATGTATCTGGTTGTAGACTGCTCAGTGGAAACTGTACAAGCCCGGAGAGAGTGGAATGACATATACAAAGTCCTGAGTGGAACAACTTCTAACATAAAATACTGTATCCAACGAAGTTATCCTTCAAACACCAAGGAGAAATAAAAGCTTTTCCAGACAAACAAAAGCTAAGGAAATTCATCAATGCTAGATCAATTTTACAAGAAATGCTAAAGGTACTTCATTCTGAAAGTAAAGGATGCTAATATGCAACAAGAAATCATCAGAAAGAACAAAACCTGCTGATGAAAGTGAGTATACCTAATACTCTAATATTGTAATTGGAGAGTATAAATCACTCATGTCACGTTGGGAGGCTGAGGTGGGTGAATCACTTGAACTCAGGAGTTCAAGACCAGCTGGCCAACATGGCAAAACCCCATCTTTACTAAAAATACAAAAAGTAGCTGGGTATGGTGGTGCGTGCCTGTAATCCCAGCTACTCAGGTGCCTGAGGCACAAGATCACTTGAATCCTGGAGGTGGAGGTTGCAGTGAATCAAGATCACACCACTGTGCTCCAACCTGGATGACAAAGCCAGACTCTGTCTCAGAAAAAAAAAAAAATCACTTGGCCAGGCGTGGTGGCTCACACATGTAATCCCAACACTTTGGGAGGCCGAAGCGGGTGGATCACAAGGTCAGGAGATCGAGACCATCCTGGCTAACACGGTGAAACCCTGTCTCTACTAAAAATACAAAAAATTATCCAAGCATGGTGGTGGGGACCTGTAGTCCCAGCTACTCGGGAGGCTGAGGCAGGAGAATGGTGTGAACCCGGGAGGCGGAGCTGGCAGTGAGCCGAGATTGCACCACTGCATTCCAGCCTGGGTGACAGAGCAAGACTCTGTCTCAAAAAAAAAAAAAAAATCACTCATATCGTTAGTGTGAAGACTAAAAGACAAACCCATCAAAAATAATCATAAGTAAAACAATTGTGAAGATACAAAAAATATAAAAATAGAAACAAGAAAAAGTCAACAAGCAGCAGTGACAAAGTTAATTTTTCTTTCTTTTTTCTTTTCTATGTGATCAGAGTTGAGTTGTCATCAGTTTAAAAGAACTGATGATGTTTTTTGCAAACCTCATGGTAATCACCAAGGAAAAACCTATAATAGATACACAAAAATTAAAAAGCAAGAAATCAAAATATGCTACCAGAGAATATCACTTCTACAAAAAGGAAGACCAGGAGAAAGGAAGGACTAATAAAACAACCAGAAAACAAGTAACAAAATGGCATTAATAACCTATCAATAATAACATTGAATTTAAATAGGCTATATTCTCCAATAAAAAGACGTAGAGTGGCTGAATGTATTTTAAAAACAAGACTCACTATATGTTGCCTATAAGAAACTCATTTCGGCTGGGCACAATGGCTCACGCCTGTAATCCCAGCACTTTTGGGAGGCTGAGGCAGGCAGATCACTTGAGTTCAGGAGTTCAAGACCACCCTGGCCAACATGGTGAAACTGCGTCTCTACTAAAAATACAAAAAAATTAGCCATGAGTGGTGCAGGTGCCTGTAATCCCAGCTACTTGGGAGACTGAGGCAGGAGAATCGCTTGAACCCAGGAAGT